>NC_000001.11:48947774-49250804 GCF_000001405.40 Homo sapiens | reverse complement strand
GGCTGGTAGTGAGAGTGGGTGACTCCATTCCCCCAGAGCTGTTGTGGTTCAAGAATGAGTTCTGTGCTAGCCACAGTGGCTCACGCCTGTAATCCCAGCCCTTTGGGAGGCCAAGGCAGGCGGACATGAGGTCAAGAGTTCGAGACCATCCTGGCCAACATGGTGAAACCCTGTCTCTACTAAAAGTACAAAAATTAGCCAAGCATAGTGGCACACACCTGTAGTCCCAGCTACTCAGGAGGCTGAGGCAGGAGAATCGCTTGAACCCAGGAGGTGGAGGTTGCAATGAGCTGAGATCAAGCCACTGCTCTCCAGCCTGGCGACAGAATGAGATTCTGTCTCAAAAAAAAAAAAAAAAAAAAAATTAGTTCCTGTGTGTAGTTCAGGGTTCCCAGCTCTTTCTCCCTTCAGCCCAGTTTGTGTGTCTTTCCTCCATCCACTCTCAGTTCCTTGCCTCTAAAGATCTGTTTAAAGCCTGCCAGTCATCTTAGTCCCTCCATGGGAGCCATTCCACTTATTTGAGTCTAGTCAGCCATTTTGCCCTCTCCCTCAAACATTTCTCTTTTCTCTGTGTTGGGAACATTATAATTCTGTTCTACCTATTTTGAAATATATAATAAATTGTCATTAACTATAATTTTCCTACTGTACTATCAAATACTAAAATTTATTCCTTCTATCCATCTGTATTTTTGTACCCATTAATTAACTTCTCTTAATCCTCCAACTTCCTTACTGGCCTCTGGTAATCAGCATTCTATTCTCTACCTCTATGAAATCTACTTTTTTAGCTCCCACATCTGAGTGAAAACATGCAATATTTATCTTTCTATGCCTGGATTGTTTCACTTAATGTTGTGACCACCAGTTTCATTCCATTGCTGCAAATGACAGGATTTAATTTGTTTTTTGAATAACATTTCATTGTGTATGTATTTTTGAATAATATTCCATTTTTTATCCATTCATCCATTGATCCACACTTAGGTTGATTCCATATCCTGACTATTGTGAATAATGCTGCAGTAAGCATGGGAGTGCAGATACCTCTTTGATGTACTGATTTCCTTTCCTTTGGATAAATGCCCAGTGATGAGATTGCTAGATCACATGGCAGTTCTCTTTTTAGTATTTTGAGGAACTTGTATACAGTATTCCATAATGCCTGTACTACTTTCCATTCTCACCAACAATATATGAGTGTACCTTTTTTTCTACATCCTCACCAACATATTTTATTTTTTGTCTTTTTGATAATAGCCATTCTAATTGCAGTGAGATGATACCTCATTGTGGTTTTGATTTGCATTTTTTGATGATTAATGATGTTGATAATGTTTTCATATACCTATTGTCCATTTATATGTCTTCTTTTTGATAAATGTCTATTCAGGTCTTTTTCCCATTTTTTAATTTTTTTTGTTTGCTATTGAGTTGTTTGAGTTCCTTATATATTCTGTTTATTAATCCCTTGTAGGATGGATAGTCTACAAATATTTTCTCCCATTCTGGAGGTTGTCTCTTCATTTTGTTAGTGGTTTTCATTGCTGTGCATAAGCTTTTTTAGCTTGTTATAATCCCATTAGAATAGTCCCTGCAACTAACGTGAACAATATTAAATGGGAAATGTACTTATGATTGGACAAAAGTATTGCATATATGACAAGACAGAATCAAGGCCACTCTTTAGGACTGCACGCAGGCTGTTCACGATACCTTTACCCACATTGGACCACTCTTTGGCCTATACCTGGAATGGAGCTTTCACATTTTCAGTAGCACCATGAGCCCCTTGGTCAGGATGGGCAGTACTCCATTCCTCACATATGACTGCCTTGAAGGTTATACCTACTCTTAGACTAACAGTGTACTGTGGTCACTATTTACAGAGCTCTGATATAGAGCACCGTATTACTGAAACAAGAAGCTCAGGTTAAAAATTTAAATCTAAAGAAAAAATAAAAAGAAAGAAGGAAAGACATTGTAATGTACCAAAAGATCTGGCTTTATTGATGAGAAGAGGAAACGCTCAATAAATATTGAACACCTGTTTAGATCTAGATACAATATGCCAGGTGATTTACTTATATAATCTTACAGATTCTTACAACAACTGTGGTAGGATACTGTCACCATCTCAATTTTGGATGTAAACAATGTCCAAAAAAAAAAGAATAATTACCTTTCCTAAACTCGCAGAACGTGTAGGGAACTGGGATTCAATCTCAAGGGTAACTGGCTAAAAAGTCTATAATCTTATTCCTCTGAGGCAACAGACTTGGTTTAAATACTAGCTCTGCTACTTATTAGTTATATGATTTTAGTTTACTTAATCACATTACCAGTCCCTCATCTGTAAACAAGAGGTGACAAATAGTTCCTGTCTCAAAAAATTCATTATCCTCAAAACAAATGAGATAATGCATCAATATCAGAATATCTGGGGTGGGGCCCAAGCATCTGTCATTTTAAAAGCTATACTAGTGATTCTAATTTACAATTAGGTTATTCTAATATATAAAACATTGTTCTAATGTGAATGAAGTGTTTAATTCAGAATATGGTACATAGTGTGTGCTCAGAAATTATTATTATTTTCGTGGTTACCATTATCTTATGGATGCCACATCTTCTTATTCATTTTGAGTAAAAACTAATGATTAAGTACAAAATATGGAAATTCAGGGTTTCCTGCGCTGTCTGCTTTCTTATAATTTTGAATCTCTCCACCACAAGCGATGTTGCTAAATGGCTGGAAAACATAAAAAATACTTGAACAGGGAATGGTAAGAAATGATGTTACTGTTTCCATGTAATATTATAGAGAAGGTATGATCTTTATGGCCAAAACACCTAAGATTTAAGTCCTAGCTCTACCAATAGTTTGGGGATTTTTGGAGGGCAAGCCACTTTGTTTAAGTGTCAATTTCCTCACATCTAAAATCGGGCTAAAATAAACAACTTTTGTTTATAAATGGAGTAAACAAATAATGTAGCATATTTAAAATACCTGGGAAATTTCCTAGGCACACAGTAGGATGTTAATGATCAGTGCATGTTTCACTTTATTTCTCATTTCTTTATTCCAGCTTCACATATTTACATCATTGCTTTATTAGCTTTCTCTCTGTATTTATCAATAATCTAGAACCTGAAAGTGCAGTATGGCTTCCAGGTTCACTGGAAATGGATCTGACAACTGGAATCTCAGAAAAAAAAGGGGGGGCTTATGCCCTCTGAGGTTCAAAGGCCATTTGTCCCCTCAATATTGATTTTCTTAAATCAGATACTAGCCAAGACCCTGAGAGAAGTAATTGAATTGACAAAAGGCAAGTCTAGGTTATTAATAATGGAACAGCCTTGGACATTCTTGATGACTTAATTTAATGACAGAAGAGAGGTCTGAAACCAAAAGGCCTAGAGATGCGGTAAATGGCTGGTCTCTGAGGAGAAAGGAAAACACAAGTTATCCCTAAAAGCTTATTTCATGGAACAAAGCATTTTATTATAGTCCTAAACATGAGGCCAGAGGATATACTTTTGATTTTCTCTTTTTAACAAAACAAAATTTTAAAGACTTGAATAATTACCATTAAATTTATTTTTTGCCCTTGGAAAATAGACTTGTTTAGGGTTATGGAATTTTGGAATCTTAGTGATTAACTCAAGAGTAAAAATCATGGACATCTTATCTGTTTATCCCCTGAATTCAAGTATCAATTCTGTCATCTACTAGTATGACTTCAATCAAGTTAGGTAACCTCTCTGAGCCATAGTGTCTACATTTATTAAATGAGGGTGTTAATATTTATTTTTATGGTTATAGAAGAATATTTCCAATGTTTAAAAAAGTATATACAATTACTGTCACTTGATACTATATAATACCTCACGCAGTAAATACTTGTTGAATAAAATAATACATGAATTTTGATGGTTTTGTTTTTTTCACTGTCCCTGGAAAGAAAGGCTAGCCTGTGGTAACCTCTTGAAATCTTTTCTTCTCTCCAGCTATTCTGGCTGCTCTACCCGTAGCTCTCATCATCTCTCCTTTGGACTATTTCAGTGGTTTGAAGTGTCTTTTTATCATATTTCTCTTCTCTTTCACAATCTTCCCTCCCCTCTTATAACAAAGTTGTTTGCTGAAACAAAGATCTGAGCTTTTAAAATTATACTATCCTCTTGGAAAGGCATCTAGAATGTCATAATCACTCATTTTAAAGATAAGACCCAGAGATGGGGAGAGATTTACCCAAGTACTTATGGCGCTATAAACGTATGCTGAGATTATAGTTGAGCCTAGTACCCCGACCCCTAGTAGAAAATAACAAAGAGGGTACGAAAGAGGATGTATATCCTTCAGTTCTAGTCAAAGGGGTTTCAAGTAGTTGTAGAATGTTTTAATAGCAATTTTGTTCTTAGTTAATATTTTTAGTGTTTTTGAACTTTAAATGTACTACTCTTACCCTGATGATAATATGATTTACTTCTATGTAAATTCTAGGTCAGCCAAGAGAAAGGATACACTTAATAACTAAAACTTATGTGACATTCATTGTGTACCAAGTATGGTACCAAATACTGTACATATATTAATTTAATTATCATCAGAGTCCTGTGAAGTAGGTACTGTTATTATTCACATTTTTCAGATCAGGACACTGAAACAGATCTTTAGTAGCTTGGCAAGGCCACACAATTGAAAAGCAGTAGAGTTGGTTCTAAAATTCAAGTTTCCAGGTTCCAGAGCTAATGCTTAATTGCTATGCTTAGCTGGCACAAACACATTACATTCTCATGAGCACTGTGTACTCTCACTATACAGTTGCCTGCTAGTCCATATGGCTTTCTTTAACCCTGTTTCTTATTTCCTGTCTTAATTATCAGGAAGTTACAATTTGCATAGCATAAAGATGAACTTCTCCCTCTTTCTTTTTCAGAGGGTCATTTTCAACATTGTTAACTTCAGTAAAACCAAGAGTCTCTATAGAGATGGGATGGCCCCTATGGTGAAATCTACCAGCAGACCAAAATGGTAAGTGATCTACAGAATGGGACCCCTTCCTGGTTAGAAAATTTGTCCCAGACCCCATACATATACACACCTACTAATGGACCCCCAAAAAAAATTAAAAATAAAAATTTTTAAAAGAAAATTTTACCCAGAACTCTAGTTTATCTGCTGTACAGCTGGGGATCAGACTTACTGTCACTGAGAAGAATGAGGATGAGTTTCTGTATGGCCATTCTTTGGGTACTGTTCTTGAGAATGTTGGAAACATGGTCCTGTGCTTGGGATGACCAGCATTCAATTATGAGAAAAGGCAGTCTGTTATTTGGTAAGCTTCCTGTCCTGTTTGGCTTTTATTATGGTATCTTTGGAAACATAAATAAAGTTGGTTCTTTTTTTTTTTCCTAGCCTAAGCATAGATTATGTTTAGTAACTTAGGAGGACATTAGGGACTACAGTTCAGTAGCTTTCTCTTGCTTTGCATGGTTTTTGTGTTTTGTGTGTGTGTGTGTGTGTGTGTGTGTGTGTGTGTGTGTATTTTAAAGTTCTATTTGTACCATTGCTATAGTGAGGAGGAGGGGAGTTGGATAGGATTGGTTAATAATTGTAATAATGATGGTAATAATAATATTAATAATACTAGTAATAATAACTACCTCACTTATTAAAAATCCATTTGGGTCAGATGCTTTATATTTGTTGTTACTATTTCCACATTTTTGCAAAGGAAATTTTAAGTATCCCTATATTACAGATGAAAAAATTGAGGCTAGGATAAGTTAAGTACTTTGTTAAGACCATAAAGAGTAAGGGAGTGCCCTGTGTTATTTATGTTACCCTGTAATACCTTTTCAGCCAATTCATTCATTCATTTATTCATTCAGCAAGTATTGATTGAGTACAACAAAATGAAAGACTTCAAAGACAAAAACCTAGTATTATTAACCTATTCATCTATCACACAGTAGGTGTTAAGTGAATGCCTGTTAAGATGAACTGAATTTGTTATGAGAATTTACATGTAAAGTTTTGCCTGGCACTTACTAAGTGCTCAATAAATGGCATCTATTATTAATAGTATTATATAAAACCCTATACAAATGCAACGAATTGTTAATATTGTTATAGCTTTGATCTCTGTTCAAATATTAATGACTAGTGAGAAGATAGTCTCCAAATGTCTATATTTATAGCAAACTAGCAATTCATAAATACTGAATTGCGCTTTTATCTCCAAATGATACTTGGCAATTTTCTATTAATGTTGGGCTGAGAAGCTCAGGTTTATAAAAGTGTAGGCATTTGATGACAATAATAAACACTGTTTATGAAAGGTGAAAATATCTCCTTGGGCATGATTTTTTGCTTTCCTGTATCAAATCAACTAATCTGCTGCTCCTTCTCTCAGTCTTTCTGGGCAAGGGGTAGGCCTTTGCTTTGAGTCTCTGGTTCCAGCCCAAGTAGATAATAATAGAAATCATTTCTCTGTTAATAGGCATATATATAGATTAGTACTATAAACCTTGCAAGTAACAGGACATCACTGTTGATTTGCTCATGAGGGCCTTCGAAATGACATTGTATATATTTTTCCATATTCTGTGTTGGGATCTTGTACAGCAATAATAATCACCATCCATTTTTCCCAAATGTTAAGTTCTAGAATCCTTTTTTGTGCTTTTGAAGATGCATAAGCCTTAATTATTTCACTTTGCTTCTTTTTTCTCATGAACTATGTTGTGTCTTCTCTGCTAGGGCTCTTGATAAGATTTTGAAATTTTATTGGGTCCTTGCTTTTGGATTATGATGCTTTAGAATTAAGTTGGTGCTCTTATGCAATGTTGGCAGGCAATCAGCAGCAGCCGTTATCCAGTCATTGGACTCCTCTAATGGTCTGAAAGAGCCTAAAGTTTCAGAATTGAGTTTGTTGTAGTTTATTAAGCCACTTAGGCATAAGGTACCATAGCACATCACACTGTATACGTAATATCTCCTATTTTTTACCTTACCATCCCCAGAACTTGGATACAAAGCTACTTACATTGCTTCAGAGTTTCCTTTCCTCAAGCCAGATGTTTAGATTTTTTTTTTTACTTCATAGGACTTTATTGAGCACCTTCATGTGCTATGCACTGTTGTAGATATTGGGATACAGGATGAATATGCTATAAAAGATCTGTTCCAAAAGGGAACTTTATATTTAGAATTTTTATTAACTAATCTCTACAAATCATAATTGTTATTCTCCTTGCTACTGTTGAATTTTGAACATCTTTTCTTCCACCTTGGTGCTCTATGTCTAGGACTTCCTTTTATGCTTTGAGTCAGTTACCTACACCCAAGCCTATCTCCCAGCAGCCATTATCCTAAATGTTCCCAGGGTTTGATAAGGAATTGGCTATGGGCTCTCAGAATATTAGATTTTATTGGCTCCAAGGAGTCTATCCCAATTTAGGAATCTTGGCAATGACCTAACTCAAACCTGAAAAATACCTCGTAGATCTCAAATTTATAGTATCTTCTCCAGTGTCTTTCTAATTCTAGCTTTCCCAATACCAAGGCAAGCACTATAACAAAAAAAGTTTGTAATACTTTACTTGTCTAGGGTATTACCTCCTTCGATATTCCAAATAAGTCATGGAAAAATTCTTACTTTAGGATAAACACTAAAAATCTGAAATTTCCTGGATATTATATATATAATTTAAAATACATATATGTATGTATGTGTGTGTATATATATATATGTATGTGTGTGTATATATATATATGTATAAAAATTGGGAAAACACCCTTTTTTCACCTTTTCAAGATGAAACAAACATTCTTCTTCACCTCTCATAGGGGGCTGTAACAGGTACCAAGGCCTTCAAGTCTTAGCATAGACCGGTAGTTAATTAGTTATAGAAAGCAAATTAACACAAGATACAACTGGAAAACCATTATGTAAATATGTGGCCATTCAAGGCTGTTCTGCCTTGAGGAGACATCTAGCAGCAAATGGAGAAGCTGGAAGATTCAGAAGTTTTCTGCCTGTTTTAGTTCACTCCAATTTTATTTACATATTAGACTTCCTAAGGATTAAATAATTACATATTAGACTTCTTAAGGATTGTGGTTAGGGCTCTGTAGCATCAGGTTTCTGATGCTCATAACTCATTAATATTTCTTAACAGTATCCAAGTCTCATAACTCATTAATATTTCTTAACCGTGTTCATTACTGTGTGCTAGGCACTGCTAGGAACTGGCATTGCAAGACAACTAAGAACTGTATCTTCACCTCTGCAGAAACTGAAGCTAGGAGTATTTACATTACTAGTAAGTGGTAGCACCAGCCAGAAATCACATGATTCCAAGTTTACTGTTCCTCTCACATTCCATGCATGGGGATGTTGGAAGAAGGAGACAAAAAGAAGCAAGGAGTAGCATGCTATTGTGTGGCCTTTGGATAATCTGAAATAACTTATTGGATTGGCTTTTTCATTATAGCAGATTGAAAAGATTGGACTAGCTGTTAGAGATGGCTTCCATTTAACATATTTTTATTGATCATCTACTCTGTGCTAGATCTTGGGGTGATTAATATCAGTTGATTAGGATTATTTCTTTAAAGATTTTACTTTTTTAGAGGTTGGAATGAAACACAAAAATAAACAGGTACAATGTAGAGAACATTGTGCTAAGAATCAGTAGCACATAAAGCATGCAGTGGGATTAGAGAAGAGGAAGAAAATTATACTATTAAGGCCACGAGGGGAAAAGGAGACATGCTAAGGACCAGGTGATATTTCAGCTATATCTCAAGGAATGGAAAGTGGATAAAATTAAGGAAATGGGATTCCGGGTGGAAGAAATAACATGATGAGCCATGCTACCTCTTTCATTATCCTGTTTTCTCACTGTAAAAAGTACATAATAATACTTCCTCCCAGCGTTGTTATAAGAAACAAATGTGAACTGAATGTGTAAATACTTTTTAAAGTCTGAAGTGTGTTATTAAACAAATGTCCTGTTTTTCTCCTTTCTTGTAATTCACCCAAGACTGATTGAGTATTATTTCTTCTTTTTCTCCCTCCTCTCTTTCTTCCCTCCTTCTGCTTATCAATAAATGCTTACTGAGTAGTTAAAATGAACCAGGAACTATGCAAGGCATTAAAACATAACAGTGACAAGAGAGATATGTTTCATAGTCTCATAGCTTATAGTCTACTATGCTAAACATTAAATATGTAGCTCTAGTAAAGTATGATAACTGTTATAATGAGAACTTTGTAATAACAGTTATAATTTAAATACTACATAGAATTTAAGACTTCATATACACCAAGGATAAGAGACCTTCCTTAGGAAGTATTGTTTGTACTAAGAGCTGAAACAGAATGTGCTTGAAGGCCAAAAAAATGAGAGAGAACATTTCATCTTTGATGAGAAAAGGCCAACATAATTGAAGCATTAAATTCTGAGGAGAAAGTGATTGGAGAGATTATTGAGGTGAGCCTTATAAACCAAGCTAAAGAGTAGGACTTGATTCTAATGACAATGGAAATAAATTAAAATGATTAAATGGGGGCAGGACATGATCAGATTGGCAGTTTAGAAAGATCAGTCTTGCTGCTGAATGGGGAATATTTTGGAGAGGATGAAAATTATTTGGATGTTTTTGCAATATGCCTTAGGCTACAGCTAATGATGGATTGGGTTGGTAACAGTAGTGATAAAACAAGTGGATGGTTTTCAGGGATAATGGAAGATTGAATCAATTTAGCTTTGTGGTTGACTAGATGTGGAGAGTAAAAGAGAAGGAGGAGTCCTGGATGATTCCCAGATTTTCTGGCATGAACAACAGAAGGGATGATGTCATTTACTGAAGATAGGGACCATAGGAGGAGAAACAGTTTAGGAAGATTTGGCTGGATAAGGGAGATGATGAGTTTAGCCTGGGAAACATTAAGCTAGAAGTGTCTGGAAAGCATCCAAGCAGAGATGTCAGGTAGGTAGTGTGGTATATTGGTAAGAGACTCAAGAGAGGAATATGGAAGTACGGATTAAGGTGTCATCAGTCTACAGGTGATAACCAGAATGGTAGGAGAAGATGTGATTTCTCAGGGAGGCCATGAGAAGAGAGATTAGGATAAGGCTCTGAGAAATCCCTACATTTAAAGGCCAGGTAGAGGATAAGAGGCCCACAAAGGAGGATGAGAGGGACTAGCCACAGAGATAGGAAAAAAAAAAAAAAAAAAGAAAATGCAGTGTCATGAAACCAAAGAGCGAAGTCTTTTTTAACAGGGTGGAGGGACTAATACTGCCAACTGCTACCTAGGTCAAAGATAATTAAAGCATGTAGTGACATGGAGGTCTTGAGAGGCTTTCGTGAGTGCACTTTTAGTGACCTGGTGGGTGGTAGGAGTTCAAGCCAGGTCATGTGGATGAAGGAGTGAGTTGGAGGATGGAGAATGTATGAAGAAATGGAGACAATAAATATGGACAGCTCTCTCAAACATTTAGCTACAAAATTAAATGAAAAAGATATAGGTTTATGGGATAGACAGCAAGTAAACATAATTTTAACATTCTTTGAATGAAATGCAGTGATAGAGGTATGTACACCTAGCAATAGATTCATACTTTCTGTAAGTCTTAATGTAGTAATGTTTAGCCTCGCTCCTGTCAAAATTTTAAAATTTTGAAATTAGTGGTGTCTTTTCTGAAATAATGGGGCCTTTACTCTATTATTAAAAACAAAAATTTATATTTTACTTGAGAAATTATAAATTTATAAATTAATATTTTGTAAAACAAAGTCATACTTAATTTTTTCTCATAGCTAAAAAAAGTCATACATTTAAAATTAAATTACATCCTCTGTTCCACACATACTTACTCTCTTTTTCTGTCTTATTTTTTACATTGCACTTATTACCATCCAGCAAACTACAATATATTATTTATTTATTATCTGTCTCCCCCTCTGCTGCAAACTAAGCACCATAGGGGTAAGGATTTTTGTCATTTCTATACACTTCTATATTTCTAGCTCTAGAACTATGCCTGGTACATAACAGGTATTCAATAAATGTCTATTTATAAATTAATTCAGTATCTTCCACTAAACCTAATGATTATTTTTAATTTTACATTTTCCTTTTTAGTTTTTTTCTTACACACATTTTAACACGGAAACAGCTAAATGTATGTACTCATTTGTATGTTGATCTTTTCATTTGACATTGTATCAAAAACAATTTTAATATTTTTCTCTAAGTGTTAATCACACCATGTTTGAATAATAATGATTTCTACTTTTTTAATGTATCATGATTTCCTGTATCATATTCCTATTGCTGGGCATTTAGATTTTCCATATTTTTCTAAAGTATAATAGATAATAAATATCACATAGGTTTTAGGTTTGTTAAATAATTTTTTACAAGCAGCTTCTAAGAGATAGACTCTAAGATTAATGTCTATAAACTCCTGTTATACATGTTCTCCAAAAATGTTGTACCAATTTAAAATATTGCTATTGGTCTATCACTGCATCAGTTTTATTGCAAATTTGGACAGCATTAAAAATTGGCATTTAAAAAATGGTTACTTTAGGAGCCATAAAATGATCTATGTTTTTTTTTATTTCAATTTTGTATCTTAAGAGTATTGACATTAATGTAATGCCCTAAAATCAAGTTTTCAAAAACAAATATTTCTGCATTAAAAAGAAAAGGTAAAATATTACAGTCTGGTTCCGGGACATGATGGAGTAGACATACTTCCCTCTATTTCTAGAGCGCAGCTAAAACTATACACAGCATTTATGAAACAAACATAGAAAACTCTGAAAGGTGGAGAAAAGAGGGAAGACTACTTAGGTTCCTTAGGACCTAAGAAATGGTATTGTGTGAGTTCTGTGGGTTTCCTTTTTGCCACATGTATGCCAAAATAGTTATTGGAGAAGCTGGCAACCTGGAAATGCCACAGGTACAGACAAATAAAAGGTGCTCCCCAAAATATTTTCATACTAAATGAAGGACCAGAAAAAGGGCAGTCTAGCATGAGAGATTATTGTGAGACAATGATCACCTACTCCAGCCAAACACAATGGGGAAAATAAATAAACTGCATCCACATTTCTACTTTCACCAACAAAGGGCTAGTAGGAAGCATAGACTTTTGTCTTTGCCACCACCCCACTCCCCAATAGGTGGTGTCAGAAAAAAATAAGAAACAGGACTTTCGTTCTGCTGGGTGGTAATGAATTCCCTCCTTCCTCTTCGTGGTGTCAGATCACATGGGGAATGTGACCTTCCACCACCCACTTAAGAATGGGCTCAATAGCTGAGTACAGAAGACAGAGAAGAGAATAAGTGAACTTGAATATGGAACAATAGAAGTTACCCACTATGAATGAAAATGAAAAGAACAGTCTTAAAAGAAAAATGAACAGAGCCTCAGGGACCTATGGGATGCTAACAAAAGATTATAGCATTCATGCCATTGGAGTTTCAGAACGATAGGAGAGAGTGAGACTAAAAATAAATGTTTAAAATGGATGAAATCATCCCAAATTTTGCAAAACACATAAACCTACAAATTTGAGAAACCAGGTGAACCTCAAACAGAAAATCCATGCCGAGAAATGTCATAATTAAATGTGTGAAAATTAAAGACAAAGAAAGAATCTTGAAAACAATAAGAGAAAAATGATACCTTATCAATAGGAATAAAATGGAATACAGCAGACTTCACAACAGAAACTATTGAAGCCTGAGTAAAGTGGCACGATGTTTTTCAAATGCTAAAAGAACATCAACCCGGACCCTTTTATCCAGCAAAAATATCCATTAAGAATGAAGGAGAGATCAAGACATTCTAGATAAAATAAAACTAAAGGTATTTTTGCCAGCAGACTTATTCTAAAAGAATGGTAAAGGAAGTTCTTCAAACAGAAAGAAAATTTTAAAAGGACTCTTAGTATATCAGGAAGAAACAACAACAAAAAGAATAAAAATATAGGTAAATACTGTAGACCTTTTTTTCTGTGTTTTCTAAATATGCCTTATATTGAAGCAAAAATTATAACATTGACATGGTTCTCAGTATATGTAGAAGAAATATTTAACAGAATTACACGTGGAAAGGTAAAGGGACTTAAAATAAGGTAGAGTTTCTACACCTCACTCAAATTGGTAAATGTCAACACCAGTAGACTGTGATAGGTTTTATATATATATATATATATATATATATATATATATATATATATATATATATATATATATATAATGTAATATTGAGGAAAAAAAGGATGAGTGACTCTATTAGTCTGTTTTTATGCTGCTGATAAAGACATACCTAAGACTGGGAAGAAGAAGAGGTTTAGTGGACTTACAATTCTATGTGGCTGGGGAGGCCTCACAATCATGGTGGAAGACAAAGAAGAGCAAGTCATATCTTACATGGATGGTGGCAGGCAGAGAGAGCTTGTGCAGGGAAACTCCCATTTTTTGGGGGGTTTTTTTTTTTAGTTTTTTTTAGACGTAGTCTCCCTCTGTGGCCCAGGCTGGAGTGCAGTGGCACAATCTTGGCTCACTGCAAGCTCCACCTCCCAGGTTCACTCCATTCTCCTGCCTCAGCCTCCCAAGTAGCTGGGACTACAGGCGCCTGCCACCATGTCCAGCTAATTTTTTTTTTTTTTGTATTTTTAGTAGAGATGGGGTTTCACCGTGTTAGCCAGGATGGTCTCGATCTCCTAACCTCATGATCCGCCCACCTTGGCCTCCCAAAGTGCTGGGATTACAGGTGCGAAAAACTCCCATTTTTTAAAACCATCATCAGATCTCATGATTCCCTATCAGGATAACAGTGCAGGAAAGTCTCACCCCATGATTCAATTACCTCCCCACCGAGGTTTCTCCCATGACATGCGGGAATTGTGGGAATTATAATTCAAGAGGAGATTTGAGTGGGGACACAACCAAACCATATCACTGACTATAAAGGGGTAGCATATGGTAGATTTTTTGGTAATGGGATAATTATGTATCTTGATTGTGGTGGTGGTTACAGGTGACAAGATGACATAGAACTATACACACATATTGTAACAATGTAAATTTCCTGGTTTGATATTGTACTATACTAATAAAAGATGCAGTCTTTGGGGAAACTTTGGGGGAACCATGGTGAAGAGCTCACAAGACCTTGCTGAACCATTTTTCCAAATTCCTGAGAATTTTGAATTATCTCCAAACAAAAAGCAACAAAATAAAACCCACATTACTTCACCTAACTACCATCTCTCCACAAAAATGTCCCCAAACCATACAAATATTTTATAGAATGTCAAAAATCCCAGAAGGATCTGAGACTTCCCAGAGATTGAATGAGGGGTGAGAAGACACATGGAGAGGAGCCCTTTATAGCCATAGATGTTACAAAATGAAGAACTCTAGAAATCCTTAAGAATGAGCTGGGTGTGGTGGCTCACACCTATAATCCCAGCACTTTGGGAGACCAAGGAGGGTGGATCAGTTGAGGTCAGGAGTTTGTGACCAGCCTGGCCAACATGGTGAAACCCTGCTTCTAATACAAAAAAAAATTAGCCAGGCATGGTGGTGGGCACCTATAATCCCAGCTATTCAGGAAGCTGAGGCAGAAGAATCACTTGTTCCTGGGAGGAGGAGGTTGCAGTAAGCCAAGATCGTGCCACTGCACTCCAGCCTGGGTGACAGAGTGAGACTCCATCTCAATCAATCAATCATCAATAAATAAATAAATAAATAAATAAATAAATAAATCCTTCAAAATGAATAATTTGACCTGAGAAAAAGAAACATGTTCAACTAGAAATAGGGTAGGGTGGTGGAGATAATATAGACTTGAGTTTATATTTTATCTCTGGGTCTTCTACTAACTCATGGAATGAGCCAGGAGTAAGGTAACTTAACCTCTCTGAGCCACCATTTTCACACAGAGCACAGTGAGGTTGTCCACTCTAGATGATTTTCATACTGTGCTCTCTGGAGAGTTCTTGTACAGGGTAAGAAAGAAACCCAGGGAAGATGTAGGCCATCCTCTTCTATTTCCACTAGAATGGATGTGCTTTTTTCTGCTCCCCTTATAAGTGATAGGAACCAATTTATTTAAAGAGATATACTACTTCCTTCCACCTTGTATATAAAATAGAGATTATTATTCATAGTCTTTCATCTGGGGAAATAGAATCTAGAAGATATATGGCTTACTCAAGTAAGTACACAACAGAGCCTTGGGCCCTCATGGGACTGATTTGCAGGCCAATCACTTTCCTGAATGCATTCACACTGCTTCTGTTTGCCTTTACTCCAAGAAAAGGGGATGAAATGTGACAACTTGATGCAGGGAAAAAGCACTGACTTTGCCATCAAATGGTCAAACCCAAATTCAAATCTTAGCTCCTGCCCTTGGGCAACAGGAATAATAGCTACCATTAGTTAATCTTAAATAATACAGAGATTGTGCTATTGTGCTGCTTAAATTCTCTCTCTCATAGCAGACAGGCCAGAACATGAGTGAGAAAACCTAGTATTTGTGGGGCGTGGTGCTGTTATCACTGACATCCTGGAAGGAAGGACCTGAGCCTTACTGATTAGCCACCCCAGTGCCTTTATTTTGCACACAAAGAGACTAAGGGACAGAGAAGTATTTGTCTAAATATTCCAACTACTATACAAGAATGAGTTTTGAACCCAGGCTTTCTAATGTTTTTCCATAATATGAAACAGCCTACATAATAGTTTATTGTCACAAAATGATTTTGGATCATGATATTCTCATAGTTGCTCTAAGAGACAGAAAAATCAGAGATTGTTATGACCATTTTACAGGTGAAGAAACCAGGGCTCAGAAAACGGTCTTACAGCTAGTCAGGGGCAGAGCCAGAACTCCGTCCCAAATTTATATGACCCTTAGCTATGCTGTTTCCATTACCTACTCCTGATGCATAGGGTGATCAACCTTTCTAGTTTGCCTGGAACTCTGGGCTTTCCTGAGATGTAGAAGTAAAGGCTTTAGTTTTAAATTGGGAATGTCCCTGGAGAAAATCAAGACAAATTGGTTACCCAACTCCTGAGTGAGCAGGGAGAAATGAAGACTTAGGGAGGCAACTGTGGAGACAAAACAGGGAAAAGACCCTGGAAAAATAAAACACAAAGGCCACAAAAAACAAATTGGCATAGTCCACTGATACTCTATAATCAGTTTTATCATTAATCTCCCTGCTTTCTCTACCTGTAGACATCCTGTACACCAATGCTCTTTTATATACCTCAAACTGCACATATTCTCCCTATGCCTGAAATATGTTCTCAAGTTCACTTCTCCTTTTTCCCTAGAGGATTTCTATATATACTTCAGGCCTCAACTTATATACCATTTCTTTTTAGAAAGTTTCATCATTTGAACTATCAAGATGGGATTAGGTGCCCATATACAGACCTTCCTCCTGTCAGTGCAATGCTGTGTCAGATTTTCCTATGGATTTACTTCCTTCCCTTCAAATGTTAAGTTCCTTGGGGGCATATGACAAATTTATTTTTCGTGTCCCAGTGCCTGCCTATGTTTGGGTAGGCCAACTGTAATATTGGATTGACCATAAGATATCTAATGGATCAAGCAAATACAAGTTGATTTCTTCCACATGAACAGATGGACAGGGCAACTTTCAAACATACCATCATTCAGGAACCCAGACTGACTATCATCTTCAATTCATAGTTTCCACGGTCACCTGGGCATCATCTCTATTCTAGCCAGCCAGATGGGAAAATGTAGAAACAGCCCACATGGGAGCTTTCTATTAGTAGTACTGAAAGTGGCGTATATCACTTTCAGTCAAATTTCATTGGCTAACCTGTAGTTTAATGGCCACATCCAACAAAAGGAATTTGTGAAATGACATTTAGCTGTGTGTGCAGGAAGAAGTGGAGAACATGGATTTTGGTAGTTAACTGGTAGAGTCTGCTTTACTTCAAATATTTACTCAAATATTTATTAAATGATTGAATGAATTCATCCTTAATAGCACACATCACATATTATTGTCCCTATAAAGAATTTCCTAATTCTACCCAGAAAATACTATGTCTGAACCATTTTTATGGCACTTAGCTTACTCTGCCTAAATTACAGTTATTTGTGCACATATGTTACCTGCCATCAAAAATTCCAATTGCAAATTCCTTGAGGACAGTGTCTGTTATGTGAAGCAGTGAAGTCCAATAGGGAAAGTACTGACTTTGGAGTCATAGAGCCTCAATCTGAGTACCAGTTCTGCCAGTTATTGCAAGTATCCCAGTTCTGCCAGTCTTGGGCACTTTCCTTGGCCCTCTGAGCCTCAGTTGTTGTTATTAATATTCACTCTATTTAGTCTATTTCTTTTGGGCCTCTACTGATCTTTTTGGTTATAAATCAACACCTTGAATTGTCTTTCAATTAGTAGTTAACTTTTAAGCATGATAATTAAATCAGATTGGATTTATTTGGGGCCATATGTTTACCTTTTAGGGTAATTAAGTGGTTGGACCAGGAACAGAAACCAGGGATTTCCAAAGGCCATGTTTTTCCCTGTGATTTATGAAGTCAAAGTATGATCAGATATTTACCTCAACTAGATTTGGGGGTTCAGATTTGTGATGATGAAAGAAATAATCAGAGATATGCTCAAAGATTTGTTTTTAAGGATGTTCATGGCAGTGTACATTGTAATTGGGAAAAATTATAAATTATCCAAGTACCCATCAGTAGTGATTGGTTAAATATATTTGGAGCATCCTAAGATGAAGTAATTAAAATCTTTTAAACAAAAGAATATTTTAAAACAAAGCTAAATATCATATATACATTTAATGATATAAACAAATATTTTTAGTGGCTTGAGTGCTTTTTCTCTTTTTTGTGTGTTCTTTTTGTGTGTTCTTTTGTGTGTTCTGCAAAATATTTAAAACTAAATATCATTGCTTTCATAATTTTAAATTTATTTATGATTAACAAAACAAAAAAACCATAAAGTCAGCAGTACACTCTGACTTCCTGTAGTCCTTTTTTTTTTTTTAATTTTGAGACAGAGTCTCGCTCTGTCACCCAGGCTGGAGTGCAGTGGCACCATCTCGGCTCACTGTAAGCTCTGCCTCCTGGGTTCATGCCATTCTCCTGCCTCAGCCTCCCAAGTAGCTGGGACTACAGGCATCCGCCACCATGCCCAGCTAATTTTTTTGTATTTTTAGTAGAGACAGGGTTTCAACGTGTTAGCCAGGATGGTCTCGATCTCCTGACGTCAAGATCCGCCCACCTCAGCCTCCCAAAGTGCTGGGATTACAGGCTTGAGCCACCGCGCCCAGCCAACTTTCTGTAGTCCTTTTATGCAGATCATATTCTTCTTGAGTCCAAAGTTACTCAGATTATTAATATTAGAAAGACCCTTGAATTTAGGGTTTATAATCTTGCAATCTCTCCATATGTGCCAACCAGATGTGGGTCTGATCAAGTTTCTGTCTTTTAGTTTCATAAAGGCTTTATCAAGATATAATTAATATACTATATAGTTCACTTATCTGAAGTGTACATTTAATGGTTTTTAATATACCCAGAGTTGTGCAACCATCACTGCAATTAATTTTAGAACATTTTCATCACTCCCCCCAGTGGAAACCTGTATGCATTAGTAGCTACTCCCACTTACCCAACCTCCCAGAATTTATGATGGGGTTACAATCTGATAAACCCATCATAAGTTGAAAACATTGGAAGTCAAAACTGCATTTAATACACCTAACCTACATCATAGCTTAGTCTTTCCTACAGTAATGTGCTCAGAACACTTAACAAAAGCCTATAGTTGTGCAAAGTCATGTAACACAAAGCTGATTTTATAATAAAGTGTTGAATACCTTATATAACTTATTGAATAGTATAATGAAAATGAAAAACAGAATGACTGTATGGGTACTTGAAATACAGTTTCTACTAAATTTGTATCATTTTCACATCATCACAAAATCAAATACTCCTAAGTAAAACCATCATAAGTTAGAGACTGTCTGTATTTTGTTCTGTGTATGGTATATGTGTGTGTGAGGTGAATGTGGTATGTATGGGTTTATGTGTATGTGTATGAGTGAGTAATGTGTATGTGCACCTGCATATATGCCTCTTTTGCATCAGATTCAGGCTGGTGACACCACTTAAATACTGCACTTTCTGCATCTCCCAAAGAAAGAGTCTTGCTGAGACAGATCTTGCTTGGTAGCAGCCTGCATTCCACCCTATGATCTGCTGCTAACTAGGCAGTTGTGCTGGTGGTCCCCCAGGGTCTCCAAGATTGAAGAAAAACAGTATCTCTAGCAAAGTGGTCTGGGATAGGATCCAGTCTTGGAGTTTCGACTGCCACGAGTCTCCTAAGTATTGCGCTTAATTATTATAGAGAATTTTGAAGAAGACAAACTCCTTCCCTAGCAATTCACCTTTTCTTCCTGATCCCTCTTTATGAAACCAACTTCTGAAGCCAAGTTCTACCACTTACTTGTTGACCGACTGAGCAATTTGTGTAACTTTCCTGAGGCTTTGTTTCCTTAGATATAAAATGGAACCAATAATATCCTTCTTCCAAATCTTACTGTTTAAGAATTAAGGCTATATGACCCTCCTTAAATATTGTAGCTATAAGAATTACTGTTCAATTTACTAATTTTTCATAAAACCCTACATAGTCTCCAGAACCTAAGGCCAATCTATGAATGTCTGCTTTTATTACCAGACCTGTTTTTTTTACCCATTCTAGAAATATTTAATTTGATAGAAGAAATTAATAAGGGTATTTGGATCATAAACAGAATACTTTTTGCTCTTTGGCTTATGATCAAGTATATCAGAAAGAATAAAATGATTTAACTGGAATCCAGATGTGCTTTAATATTAGGGAGTTGGAGGTGGGGAGGAAAAAACATAAGCTCACAAAATAGCACATTATAAAACCCAGTCATTGAAAGAAGAGGTAACTGAAATAGAAGGGATAACCTCCCACTCACTCTAGTGAGAAGAAAAGGAACAATTAAAATGAATATATTAGGGAGAATATTATTTTTGTTTCAATATTTCCATTATATTTCCTCCAATTATGTGCTGGATAGAGTTCTTTAGTGCAACTGAAACCCCAAGATAGATTTAAAAAGAGTGAATTGAGGAAGATAAAGCCAGCTCTCTTTTGCTAGGCAGAGGGTGAGTTTTCCTGACAAAAACAAAGCGGATGAGACACTAAATGTGGGGAGGATATATGTAGTTCTCAGTGAATCAACAGTGATAATGTCTCTGGAGGCTCTACCCTTTGTTAAACTTCTCTTTCCAAACTGGATAGTATAAAAAGATTCTTTATACACTGCTTCTTGAGAGGGCATTTGGGTGTATGGTAAGGGAGAAGGGGAAGGAGAGAAGAAACTAGCATCCTTAAAATTCTTACTAAATATAGATTTTCAGATTTTGGAGAGACCTTAATGATCACCTGACCCTAACTCTCAATGAACAAATGGTAAAAACAAGGCTCAGAGAGGAGAAATGATCTGCCTGGAGGCACATAAGCAAGGTGGACAGAACCATGTCTGGGACTTGAGTCTCCTCTCAGGCCAAAGCCGTACTCCTAAGCTGAGCAGCTACATGGGTAGCTTCAGTCCTGGACTGAAATAGATATGAAGACAGACCCAGGTGTGAAGACAGGCTCTACCTGGTATCAGTATGGCTCTTGACAAGTTGCTTAATATCTCTATGCCTCAATTTTTGTGTCTATAAAAGATTATTATATCTAGCTTTTGGTGTAATTGAGTAGATTAAGTTAGATAAGGTGGGGTGAGTCACCCATTGCAGCATGACAGCTGCTTTCCCTACACACCTGCCTTTAGTTTAGACCTTATCCTTCACACCAGGCATGGTTAGTTTTCCAGGGCGTCTTAGCCTCTTCCCAGCCCTGGTGTTGGCCTAGTGCTATGACAGCCAGCCCCAGCCAGTGCCAAGTCACTTCCCAAAGCAGATCTGGTTACTCATTTGTCCTGCTCAGCATATTTGTGTTCCCATTACACCTCAGGCAATCTTCAAAGGTCAGGACCCAGATACTGACAAGTCTTTTTTTGAATTCAATCAAGGAATACAAATGTTTTTTTCTGATCAGAAGAATTTTACAGATGACTGATTCCCACTGACCATGTCATCCTACCCTAATTTCAGGCTATTTCTGGAGCTGAACATTTGCTGATAAATATGCCGAGAACCTGCGTGGTTCTTACCCTGCTTGCTCCCAGTTGTTTCTTTAAACAGGACCACGTGCAGGTAGTTTTTCTAGACTATGTTGGCAACCTTTCATAAATGACTTGTATTAGTTCTTTCCTTCCTTACTCTTTTTAAAAAATGTTCTTCCTTTCTTACGTCTTTTCTGTGTTTAGTAAAGTGCTACCAAAGGCAAATACTTTTGTTAGATGTAGACATTGAATAAATCATATATCTGTGGCTTACAGTCTAAAAGGAATCTATTTATAATACACCTTGATTCATGGTATGCACAGGATGCCAGGGAAAGAAAGAGGAAGGTGCACAGCCAATTTTTCACAGGTTGTTAGGGAAAACTTATCTGAGAAATTGGCCTTTGAGTTGAGTCTTGAAGAAGGAGTTGCAATTTGTGAGTTTAGCAAGCTGGGGAAATGGATCCCTGGCAACGGGAAGGGTATTGCAAAGGCATGAGACAGCATGGTGTGTTTGGAAAATAATGAGCAATTTTGGCTGGCTGTAATACGGCATGCTGAGAATGGAGAAGATGAGCTGAGCTTGGGTCCTGTGCTAGGTGATGAGGCTGGAAATTAGGTTAGGAACATATTGCTGTCTGTGAGTTCCTTCAGGAGGAGACAATTTTGCCATCTTTATACTCTCAGAGAGCCAGAAACTGTAGATGCCCTGTGAATGTTGTTGAACTGAACTGAGCCACCACCATCTTTCTTCACAATTACTTCATGACCTCCTAACTGACCCCTGCTTTTACCCTTGTATTCACAGTCTGTTCTCCACAGTGGCATGATCTTTTAAAACACAAGTCACATCACTGCACACCTCTACTCACTTCATCTCTTACCACTTTCCCCCTTGCTCACAGCAATCCAGTTTCACTGACCACTGCTGTTCCTCAAACATGCCAGACACAATCCTGCCTTATGGCCTTTGCACTGGCTATTCCCTTTGCCTGGAAAGTTTCTTAGATATTCACATAGCAATTCCCTCACCTCTTTTGACTTTACTCTTATTTATCCTCAATGGCATCTACCCTACTTATCCTATTGAAAATTTCAAAGCACGTCCACCTCACCATTATTGCTCCCTCTTACCCTGCTCTATTTTTCATTTGTTATAGCCTTATCATATTCAAAGGAACATGTATAATTTACTTTGAAAATTTGTTGTTTATTGCCTGTCTTCTCCTGCTAAGATGTAAGTTTCACAAAGTTAGAAATCTTTCGTTTGTGTATTGATGTATCCTAAGCACCTAGAACAGTGCCTGACAAATAATAAGTGTTCACAAAATATTTATAGTATGACCTTTAATAAATATTTACTGACTACCTTCTCTGTAGTAGGTATTTTATACACATAAAGATTAATAACATATTTCCCTTATGCTTATGTAATTTTCAGGCTTTTAAGGAAGACAGGACTGATACATGTTCCTCTGTTCTAATCTAAGACGATAAATGCCACATGAGAAGATGCTATGGATATCACAGTATAGAGATCTTTGAATTTGGGGCTTCTCATGTACTTGAGTGCTGGAAGGGTAGGATGTAAGGAAGGGACAGGGAGTAATCTACAACAACATAGACTGCAGAAGACAGGAGACTCTTGAACAGGAACTCCAAGCTCCTGTCACCAGCATAATAAAGGTATGGCTGAAGATTAGAGAATAGGGCACTGCAGCCATGAATATTGAGTGATTGTTTAATGTCATGCAGCTAAGTCAGGGGTCTTATGATGAGATCAGAACTCAGTTTTGCACCTAGGAAAATATTGATATTGTATTAAAATTATTTCTACATAAATCATACAACTGATTCCTAAGAGGGTTTGTTATGTAAGAAATTTTAGAATATGCTAAATAAGCTACAGAAGACAACTGGACATAGACATAAGGCTTCTTTATAGTACAGAGTGGTTTTCATTACAAGGTGAGGCTATACCAACTTGCAAGCTGTTTGACTGAATGGGCTCTTACTTGGGGAAAAAAGGACAGGATCAGTGATCAGATATGCACCTGAGAAATCTTATTCTTGCAGAAGAATGGAAGATGACTTTTTTGATGAATCAGGGATGAGTTAGGACACATTCGTTGTAATCCAGGTGAAAAAAAATGTTAAGAGTCTAAATTAGATGTGTGGCACCAGGGATAGCAAGGAAGAAATCGTTTTGTTCATCCTATCTACATGTTATCATTGAATGCCTATTGTGTATCAACACCATTGTTGGTGCAGAGGATGAAATGACGAGGAAAAAAAGAGATTTTGTTCTTATTATAAAACTGAAAGTCTAATAGAGGGAACAAATATTATTTAAATAAATACAAAAGAAATATATAATTACAAAATTTGATAAGCAATATTCTATGGTCTGAATGTTTGTATCTCTGCAAAATTCATGTGTTGAAATCTAATCACCAAGGTGATGGTAATAGGAGGTGGGACCTTTGGGGAGGTGATTAGGTAATTTGGGTGGAGCCTTGGTGAATGGGATTAGTGCTCTTCTAACAGAGGCTGCCTCTTTCTCCATGTGAGGACACAGCTATAAGCAGGGAAAGGGCTCTCACCAGACGTTGAGTCAGCCCTCACTTTGACCTTGGACTTCCTGGCTTCCAGAACTGTGAGAGATAATTTGCTATTGTTTATAAGCCAGTTAGCTTATGATATTTTGTTAATAGCATCACAAATGGACTAAGACAACTTTAAAGGACATGTACATATTTCAAAGATAGAAATTTGAATTTAAGGAAGGACCTAGTGATTGGGAAAAAAGGGGACCTAAGGAGTTTGGGAAGACTCTTAGTTGTTTGTTTAGGGGCTAAAGTAGAAGATGGTGCCATTCACAGAGGCAGTGAAAGCATAAGTATTATTGAAGGACAAGCAGGTTTGAGGTGAGGGAAAGAAATTTGTCCATTTTTGCACAAGAACTTCTGAAGCATTCAGGTAAAAGAATCCAGCTGCAGTCAAACCTATAAATATGGAGATCAGGAGAGACATTAAGGAAGGGTATAGAGATTTGTTGTTAGTAAGACATGGGTGATGGTTCAAACCACCTCCAGAGATGTGATGCTTTCCATAGCAGCTCCAATAGGCATAATTACAGAGAAGATCATTAAATATTCAATATTGCTTATAATAGATAAAATCAATTTTGTCTAATTTCCCTAAATATTAATATCTTTGTGCACCTTAATCCTTTCATTATCATAAACATTTATTCAAGTTAAGTATTGTGCACACACTTATTTTTCAGGATTTTGCTGTTTTGCATCTGATCTCACTATGCATTAAGGCTGGAAATGTGAATGAATTGAAAATGTGTGGCACTAGTAGATTGCTTTTGCCTGCTGTTGCATTGCCTAAAGATACTGACAAGAAAGAATATAGACTTTGTTAACAGATGGACCTGGGTTTCATTTCTAGTTCTGCTTTCCAGCTAAGACAGACAAACTACTTAATCTCCCTGAGCCTCAGTTTCCTCATCCTTAAACTTAAGATTATCTTGAGAATTAAAAGAAGATAACATAAAACACTCAACATGGTGCCTAGTTATTAGAAACCAGTCAGTAAATCCTGTACTGATGTGAATCTAGTTCTCAAGCTGATTGCTGTCTTTGTACTGAGCACCTTTCATTACTGTAGCTCAGACACTACTGGCTCTGGATTGGCTTACAGTAAACTAGTAGGAGAGTCAAATATGATTCTTGGTGACCACTAGCTCTTGTAGCCCCTAGGAAATGGAACATATATCTGAGATGACCTTATAATCCAAAGGAATCCAGTTTGCTTATGTCATAGTTGGCCCACACCAGAGTTTGCCTACTGAAAATTAACTTCCAGTTAACTGAATTCTGTGAGCCGTGCCAATGTAAGAATAATGTACCAAAGCCAATTTGGCAGCTTCTCTTAGCTTCACCCCACCTGGAGAGTGTATCCTTGTTAAGGTAGGTGGGATCAGCATGAAGCAGTCCCACCTTGGGTCTGGTGGAACTCTGTGATTAATCTGCCTGACTGGAAGCCTGTGTAATGGCTTCTCTGCATAGTTCCTTAGTATTTTGTTCTGGCTATCACTGGAGCAAGCTAAATAGCGTGTATCTTTGCAGTTGTGGCCCTTTCCATTTTTAAGAATGAGATATTGAGCAGAGCATTCTAAGATATGCAAGAGAAGATCATTTCTATTTCTTCACTATCAATTCAATTCCACAGATATTTTCTATGTTGATATACATAAGGTCTCTGATTTTGAGAAAGTTATAGTCTAGTGGGCAAGAAAGAAACTTAAATGAGTTCAATACTGAAGGTAGGATTTGTGCATAATTCTTCACCCAGTAGTTTGCATGTAGATATACCCAATAAATTCTGGTTGATTGAATGAATAAACTAGTGAATGAAAGGAGTCAATAATGAGTCTTACGGCCCTTCTTATTTTTCCGTTGTTATCATATTGGCATCATCTGACTGCTTTGCTTTCCTTTTAATAACTTTCCCACTATCTGCTCTTTTATTACATGTACAAGTGTAAGTACACAGAGAAGTATTCATTTGTACATGGGCACACAACCACATGCGCATACGTATACACTCTTCAGATGCTGGATGTATCATGAACCTGATTAAAAGGCTCAGTGCTACAATTTACTGTCAACTTATCCCAACCCCACTTTCTCCTTTGACTCCTTTTTTAAGTGAGCCATTTTTGGACTGTGAATCCCTAAAGAGTAGAGACTGTGTCTGACTTGTCTCTCTACCTTTGGTGTCCAGTACAAGGCCTGCTGCAGAGCTGGCCCCATGTTATTTTGGTTGCACAGCAGAGAGAAACTGAGTTTTTTGGTACTGCTGAATCCTAAGGCCAATTCGAATTTCTTTTTTTTTTTTTTTTTTTTGAGAGGGAGTCTCGCTCTGTTGCCAAGGCTGGAGTGCAGTGGCGCAATCTGGGCTCACTGCAAGCTCTGCCTCCTGGGTCCACGCCATTCTTCTGCCTCAGCCTCCCAAGTAGTGGGGACTACAGGGGCCCACCACCATGCCCGGCTAATTTTTTGTATTTTTAGTAGAGTTGGGGTTTCACCGTGTTAGCCAGGATGGTCTTGATCTCCTGACCTCGTGATCTGCCTGCCTTGGCCACCCAAAGTGCTGGGATTACAGGCATAAGTCACCGCGTCCGGCCGGCCAATTGGAATTTGATGTAATCAGGCCTGGTGTGTGAGCTTTCAAAGCTCCTTCACTACTCTTCTGTTTCTTCCAATTTTCTTCTATTTGCTCACTGATGACTGAAGTCCCTTTAATGGATGCATATTCATCTTTATGAAATAGACTTCCCAATGAGAAAGAAAGCACAGACTTCACAGGAAAGAGTCAATGATACAGATTTGTGTCTCTTTAGCCAATATTTTCTGCACGTATGCTATGTGCAAAGCATATTTGATCCTCTCAACTGTCCTTTAGTAGTATGGCAGATGTTCTCCTTTAACAGATATGATAGTTGAAATTCATAAAAGTCCAATTAAGCCCAGGACCACACAATGATTTAATAATAAAGCCTGTATCAGAGCTAGAGAAAGATCGTCATCCTCCTTACTGCCATGCTTACTTTCTGAAATTGTCATCATTAGCACAACATGTTACTGTCAGAATCAATGGGCAGACATCAAGGGGAAGAGAAGAAAGATAGAAAGGGCTGGTCAATAACTGATGTAAAACTGCCTAAAATTATTTCCCTTAATACGTAAGAAGTATTCGTGACCTAATTCAGGAACACTTAATGAACAGCTGCTTAGATCCAGAGAACAGAAAGAATCCAGGACTGTTTTCAAGGGCATGCAACCTGAGCCGTCATACAGGACCCTGCATTTAGAAGGGTCGCATACCCAACTTAACAGTCTGCTGTCAGTTTGAAATTAATAATAATTTTTGAAAAAGAGGCCTACATTTTCATTTTGCACTAGGCCTCACAAATTATGTAGTTAGTCTTGTAAGAAGTCATTTCAAACACAAAAGAAAGCATCAAAGAAACGAAACATAACAGCTGAGAAGGAGCTAAAATGAAAGAATGGCTGCCCCACATAAACTTTTACACTTGACAGAAAACCTTCTATGCATATACCTGTATAAGAAGCTTTAGAATATTCAGTAAAACAGGAAACAAATATCATTACTGTTATTTGCACTGATAAATCCTCCTCCTTCCCATTATACCACCAAGTCCTGCTTCCTCTCCCCTTCTGTGATACTCTCCTGTTATTCAATATTTTCCTTTCTCTTACCATCTTGGTATTTCCAGGTACCCAACTCTTCATTCCTAAACTTAAAGGCTCAACCTTAAAACCTTCTGAGATTCAACTCACTCTTTTACTGAAATTTATTTTTCTGTATCCTGAGTCTGAAGGCCCAGGTCTTAACTGATAAAGCACAAAAAGTAATATACAATATATTAATGATCAATAGCAGCCAAATGTGACTACTAGATCCTGCCATAAGTTCTCACTATTAAAAGGCTCTCCACATGGATATGGGATGTTCTCTGACAGGTGAGCTTTTTTAGGCTTCTCACTGTCTGTGGAGCTCAGCCACACTTGTTTGAGGATATAGGTCTTCCCTCAAATAAAAAAACACCATGTCTGTACTCTAGACCCTTGCCAAAAACTATGCTCTGGGTTCAGTATTATCTACTTATTAATAAAATGAGTTACTTTGTTAAATGGTACTTTTGGATGGTTATTTAGAGAATGAGCAGTCCATTTATTACTGTTTAAATTATATGAATTATTACAAAATAAAGATTTATCATAAGGAAGCCATGCATTTGGACAAGATTGTTTTGGATGATTTTGTCTAATGTACAGTTGGCTTTCACAGGATTTGTTTTAATGTTTTCTCTAGGGAAACCAGAAAAAACAATCTTAAAAAAATGTTCATGTATTTCCTCTTAGGAACTTCACTGATATCACTGGCCATGGCATCTATTTCCCTATATGAAGATCCACATGAGCTCATTTTAGGGAATAAATTTTGCTTTATTAGATGAGTTTAAGTAAATTTTATATGCAGAACGTGCATATCCACAGAATAAGTCTTTATTTTTGTTATAAGTTCAGGAAATTTGTGGCCAAGTTCATGACCTAAGAATATCTTCTGTATAGGCCCCATGGCCTTTCTGATTGTGCTCTATTTTCCCTGCCTCTAGTTTTGACCTGTTTTTCTAATCTTGCTTTTTTTTTTTTAAGTTGTATTCTTTGGTTTTACAATTTTATGGTTTACATTTCTTTAAGTCACCTAAAATGCTTTGTGGAATAAGGTGGGGCATAAAATTATAGTACATACATAAAGACATATATAATATGGGTATTGTATCAGGGATTGCTTATATAGACAGATAGAAAGGCCATAGATGGAAATTTCAGACCATAGAATGAACAGAATAATAGGTCAAGTGATATTTTTGGTTGATAGAATGGTTCTTGCAATTAAATGATTCAGACAGGCCCTAATTAGGAATTAGGCCCTTCCGTTAGTAAGAGCAATCTTGCCTGCTAACCCTGAACCAGAGCTGAATGGTAAAAAAGAATGCTATGCAGAAGTAGATATTTCAGCCCTGATTCTTCCACTCACTTGCTCTGGGTCATTGGGTTAAACACTTTTTCTGTGTTTTAGCTTCCAGTGTCTCTAAAAATTAAAAAGTGTATATGTTTTTATGCTAAGGTATGTCCAATATACAATAATTTAATGAGGTTTATATTGATCTATCAACTTTTCAGGACAAAAGGAAATACTGTGTTGACTGTAAGACAAAATTCTCTTTCAAAGAAAAAATAAAATGTGAAAAAAAATAAATTTTTAAATAGTGAAGATACTTTCCTCACAAGGTTTCTCTGAGGATCATCAATAAGACAGTAAATAAGAATATGGTTTGTAAACGGTGAAATGCGATGCAAGGGAATATTATGCAAGAGAAGTTCATGGCTATTGATAGTGCATTCTCCTTTGTAAATTCTGCATTTTAGTTTTATCTTTTGAAGAAATTTAATCTTTCCTTTCAAAGAACTTTCTTAAGGATGAGGAAGCCACTTAAATAAATGAAATATGGAGAGTACTATCTTGTAGTTCCATGTGAGCTTGTACTTTCCAGCAATCAGAAGCTGTCAGTGAGGACTTCAGTGCCTCTGAAGGCATTGAGCACTCTGTCTCCTCTAGAGGATGTTGAAGTGGGGATCCTATAATCTCAGGGAGTTAGAGATGACCTTTAAGACTCAGCTATAATGCTTAGATTTGATTGATTGATTCTTTTGTTTTTTTTGAAACAAAAATCTTTCACAAAGCCAAGATGTTTGCCCTTTATGCCATATAGCACAATGGAATCCCGTTAAAACTAAATGCACTGTGAGGAGATATCTCTAAATGCATTTCTAGATACTTCCCTAAGTTTTCTTTAGCTTTAATTTACTGAGCACCTTATTTCTGATTGTGAGCTATTGGAGACCAGGAAATAGGTTTTTGGTTGCGTTCTTTTAAATTTCTGCCCACTATATTTAGCTTAGACTGGGCAGACAAAGGAACCCTCATGAATTCTTAATAATTAAGTGAAAAAGTTACAGTTTGTTTATGATGGTCAAGATCTCCATTCCATGCTTTTCCTGCATTAATCTTCATAGCACAGCAAACCTATGGCATAGGTAATGTTTTTATTTAAAGATGAAGAAGCAGAGCCTCTGAAAGTTTAGGGGTTTTCCTGAGTTCACACTCAGCTTGGAAGTGAGGGAACTGAGATGCAAACCTATATCTTTGTGGCTTCAAAAACTGGTCTCTCTGAGAACTGCAGAGTAAAGAGATTCTTTGGGTCCTAAGGCACCAGACATGCTGACAAGATCTGCTCAGAGCAGAGTAGTTGACTCTCTTCTGAGAACCACCACTGGATGTTGTGGTGGGCAATAGGTGGAAAAAGGGAAGAAAAAGTAATATTTATTAAGCATATATTATATGCCAAGAATTATATTAAGCTCTATCATAGATGTCTTATAATCAAATCTTTTCTATAATTTTTAAAGACAGATATTCTCCTTTTACCAAGGAAGAACGTGAATCTCAAAGAGGTTAAGGAAATTACCCAAAGCAATGTAGTTGGTAAGTGGCATAGCCAGGATTCAAAGCAAGTCTTCATGATGACAAGGATCATGTTCATTCCATTACATACTGATGGAAAGAACCTGAACAGGGGAACAATTTTACACAGAACTTATCACACAGGAAAAGCAGTGACCTGCAAAAGCAACAGGGAAAAAGGAAGTATAATTCAATTATTAAGAGATTCATCATGTTAGTTTCCAAGTTCCAATTCATTTTAGCCCTGAGAACAATGAGTTCTGGACAGTAAGACAAAAATCTGTAGCTATTTGAGAATGTATCTGAGACATTGTAATCAAGTTGAACTTTTTGTGGTTTATTTTAAAATACAGCCAATGAATGTTAATAGCTATCTGTGGGCCAGATACTTAGCCATGCTTTACATAGGTTATCTCTGTCCATATGAAAAGAAAAAAAAACAAAAACTAAAATGTTTTGAAGCTACCCTTAGATTATGAGACAAGATTCCTTTTATTACCTAAACAAAAATAAATGGTTGCAAAGGATTTCAGAGAAAAGTGAGGGAGTGTTGTTAGATTGACTAATGGAAAGCAACCCAAATGTCTTGCTTAGCACTATGTCAAAGGAGCATTTCTGGAATCTTTGACAACGAAACTTTTCTGCTGATTTTCCAAGAAAGTAATCAACAAGAAGTGAGTTAAACACATTGCTTAGAAATTAACTGCTCTTTCAATATGGTCACATCTATAAGCTTTTCTCAGGCCAGCAAATATTCTATTTATTTAGGGATTCTGGACATTGCTATATGATGGGAGGTTTTCTTTTATGTCTGTATTGAATCCTTTGCCTACAGTAACAATATAGGAATCATTTGTCCATGTCAGCCTTATGTGTATCATGCATTATCTTAAATAGGTTGCACCATATAGTATAAATTTTTTGTCACTTTTCGGCTGCTTTCATGAATATCATGATATGGGGTGAAACTGTGGCAAAACTCAGATATTTTCTTTCAAAAGAAAAGACTGATAATTGTATTGTATTATAAAAGGAGAAAAATGAGGCATCTCCTAATAAGAATAGAACAATGGATATTAGATTTTCCTGAAGTTAAACTTAAAACTCACTGGGGAGACATATGCAAACTACCTTTAAAGATGCTTCCAGATCCATAAGACTAACAGTAAACTGACATATTTAAAGAAGAATGTGTTGTCCCATGATGGGTGACAATCCTGTGCATCATAGAAAAGGGAGTATACAGTAGTACTGGATGGGCTTCTGATCTGGAAACTCTGATCTAAGTGCCCTTATGGTATAAACCTGTTTTAGGAGCCAGCCATGGGAGCCATGGAGGGTGTATTAGTCCATTCCAATGCTGCTGATAGAGACATACTCGAGACTGGGTAATTTATAAAGTAAAAGAGGTTTAATGGACTCACAGTTCCACATGGCTAGGGAGGCCTCACAATCATGGCAGAAGGTGAAAGGCACAGCTTACATGGTGGCAGGCAAGAGAGAGCTTGTGCAGGAAATTCCTCTTTATAAAACCATCAGATCTTGTGAGACTTATTCCCTGTCATGAGAGTGGTATGGGAAAGACCTGCCCCAATGATTCAGTTACCTCCCGCTGTGTCCCTCCCATGACACGTGGAATTATGGGAGCTACAATTCAAGATGAGATTTGGGTGGGGACATAGCCAAACCATATCAGAGGGGCTACTGCAATGCAGAGGTTCTAGTGAGACAGTTAAACTTAATCTAGTGAGTTATTTTTGAATAATCATTTTATGACTGGTACTGAGGGGTGAGCTAACAGGGTGTTGTGAGACAATATAAAGACTACTTAACTAGCAAAAATGACTTGCACCCAAAAGACTTTTGCTAGAGCCAACTTGCTCCCCTATCCAGCTATGTAACTTTGGATAAGTTACTTCACTTCTCTGAGATTCCATTTTCTGACTACTTCTCCAGTCTTACATTCACTACTCTATGTACCCTCTTGCACTTTATCCTCTTAGATTACTGGACTGCTTTTGATAGCATCATTGTTTTTGCCTATGCTATCTCCCCTTCTTTCAGCTAGGCTGTATCTGTTGTTTTCTATCTCCTGGAATCTTGGTGCCTTCCAGGGTTAAGCCCACATTTGCCAATGTCTTGGTCACTAAACACTTGACTGTTCTTGCCAGCTGCCTCTAAAGCTCAATCTGCCTCCTTTTAGCTTGACCCCAGAAACCAGGGTGGGTTTCTGAGGTCCCAGAATGCCTTCACAAGTGACTCCTTAGTTTCTCAATCTGTTATCAGATAGGTGAAAGGATGACATGAAGATGAAAATACATGTAAATAGTATAGTCTCAAGAGCAGAAACAGAATCAGTAGGGAGAAATTATAGATACAGTTTGACATTCCTAATAATACCACTAAAGAAGGATTGAATTCCCTTATAAGGCAATCAACTCTGTTCATCAGAGAATGAATGACTTCTGATCACAGAAAGGGGATTTTGCCCTGGTAGGAAGATTGGATTAGAGGGCCTTTAAGATCTCTTCCCACACTAATATCCTAGACTTTTATGATCATCAACAGATGAATAGGTTAGAAAATGACAAATAACAGGACAAAAGTCATAATTCATTCTCCAGACTTAAAGCAGAAAGTTTCAGAAAAGATTCTATCAATGTTGACAGATGCAGCCAAAGATTATGAAGACATTTGTTTATTCACTCATTCAACCATCTTTTATTGAGTGTGTATTATGTTCCAGGCACAATCTTATACACTGGCAATTCAAGAAAAATGAGATGCACTCAGCCACAAAAAGAGCATAGGCCAGTGATTAAGATACATGTAAACAAGTGAATATCATATAATGTGCTCAGTGCTATAAGAAGGACAGATCAAGTGTAAGGTGGGTGCATAGATCAGAGAGAGAACAACTTTTTATGTAGATTATGATGGTTTCAAAAAGAAATTGAATCTTGAAGTGTGAAAGAGTTAAGCAAGATAAAAAGAAAATGGGAACTGGTCATGCATTTTCCAGACAAAATAATAGCTTCAGCAAAGGCATTGAAATGTAAAAGAGCAAATTATGTTTGGGAAAAATAAGAAAGAAAAACGTAAATGGGGGTGGAGGAAGGGAAAGTTCAGAACTTAGGCTAAATAGGAGGAGGGAAGATTCTGCTAAAAGGCTTTAAACACCAGACTTGATATAACTTAGATTATAAATTACATAACTAGCACAGAGCAGCCACCAAGAAATAGTAGTTCTCTCTCTCTCTGCTTCGTTTTCTGTGTATGGATGTCTAGATGGGTTAAAGGAGAAATTGAAGGTTCTTGTCACTCTCCAAGGTCTAATAGGGGCACATGCTTGCTTGACTTCTACATAAGCATGTTACATCCTGGCTCTCTAGTTGTCAACAGTGCAGAACCCTGTTAGGAGGTATTTTGTATGAGAAGAGGTTGCAAGGCTGGCATTAATTCCCAGTGAATGGGCAAAGGACCGAGGGGGAGCCATACGGTTATTGCAAGTGGGTCCCAAATTCATACATGGCTGGGCACTCACTCTCTGTTACACTGAAACAATAGTATATCTCACAAAGATGTGGATTCAAATGGACATTGATAGTATTGTTATTAATAAAATATAAATTCATTTGAAAGCCTTACTGACTTAATTGTAACTTTTTGCCATTGTTTTGTTCTTAGTTGAATAAAAATACAAATAATATTATGAGAAACTTGAGGAAACACTTAAAAGCCCTTTATCTAGAAAATGTGATATATATATACTATGGAAATATATACTATGGAATACTACACAGCCATAAAAAAGAGCAAACACATGCCCTGTGCAGCAACATGGTTGCGGCTGGAGGCCATTATCCCAAGCAAATTAATATAGGAACAGAGAACTAAATACTGTATGTTCTCACTTATAAGTGGGAGCTAAACATTGGGTTCTCATGGACATAAAGATGGCAACAGTAGACACTGGGGACTAATAGAGAGGGGAAGGAGGGTAGGGAAAGGGTTGAAAACTAACTTTTGGGTACTAAACTTGCTATCTGTGTGTTAGGATCATTCATATCCCAAACCTTAGCATACACCCATGTAGCAAACCTGCACCTGTAACCCTCTGAGTCTAAAAGTTGAAATTAGAAAAAAATGAATAAAATTAAATAATAAAAGCTTTTGTCTTTGCAGAGATTGGCAACCAGTGGTCTAACTGGGAGAGACTTAAGTTCAAACCCTGACATTGCCACTTAGCCTTGCACTTTCCAGATTGTACTGTAATTTACTGTTAGTATGAGTGTCTCCTCCATGGTGGGGTTCTCAGAGTTAGATATGATCAGATATCTTAAGTCATATTTGTGCTTCCAGAACCTAGAATTGATACTGGCAAAGTAACGGAAGTCAGTATATGCTTGCAGATCTCAGATGTTTTATACTGTATCTACTAGCCATGTGGCCTTGAGCAAATTATGAGAGCTCCCTGAATTCTAGTTTCCTCATGATAAATGAGGGATAATAATATATCATGTCACTATCAATGGAGTAATCAACACTTCTGGAATGGGAGGAGGAAAAAATTGGGGGAAAGAGGGAGAAGGAAGGATAATGACCACAGGAAGGCAAATTAGAGGACTACTTCAGTAATACAAGAAAGGGATGATGAAGCTTGAGCAAACGCGGTCGAGGTGAAGATAGAGAAGAGGAATTGTAACCCAGCATATTGTGTCCAGACTTGTGCAAAGAGGGGTACCTGTCTGAAGAATCCACAGTGATGGAGGTTCTTTGTTAAAGTTTGATATGGGAAGAGAATGTGAAAAAGAGTACAGAAACTGGCTAGCAAGGAAGATCAGAAACATCATGAACTCTTGAGAAAAAACAGAAGTGAACCCTGAGAATGTATAGGAATTCTGGCAGGTCTTTGGCAGTTTACATAACCTCCAGCATATTTAGACATAGGAGTACTGCTAATCAATCAGCAAAAAAACAGAGGCTGTTTACCATTCAGTTCATCTTTGAGGAGTGATCATCTGATATGTGCAGGAGGAATATTCATAAGTAATTAAAAGGACTTATTCTAGATTTGGTGCCCTTACATTCAGCCCAGCCCTAGATACTCCTCTTAATTTCAGCTTTGTGTCTGCCTTTGAAAAATGATTTTTAAAAGTAATATGCAAACTGATCAATCATGCAAACAAGGCAAAACTCCCACAGAGCACATGAGGAACAGAACAAATATTATTTTTGTCTGTCTAGTTAGGATTTGCATATGCTGGAATATTTCTGACAGGTTCCTTGTGGCTCTCCTGAGAGACAAAAAAAATCATGAATCTACATATAAGTAGAAGATGAGAGAATTTCAGTGGAGAAAAATGGAGTGAGTTTTTTACTTTCTCAAGTTTCTATCACAACTGTTTCATGACCCTCAAATTTTAAAATGGCAGTGAATGATGGTGTCTCTGCTGACAACTTCAGACAAATGAGAACAAATAACTTCCCTTTGTCTTCATAAGAAAGAGACTGAGAATTGCTTTTCCCAACTTTCAAAAATGTTTCAGCAACAAATATACTTGATACTCCCTTTATCCCTTACCCACCGCTTCAATCTCAAGGTTTTCAGGTCAAGACTACATTTCAATCTTTTTTCTAAACAGGAGGCTTATTACTAGTCTCAGTCTACCAGCAGATGGTGTGTAAAATTAGTCTTCTGCTATAAACATAGTCTCCAACGTGTCTGGATATAAGGATAAGTGGGGGAACCTAAGCAATTTGCATGGTCATGGAGAGCCTTTCTGTACCACAAGCAACTTGACTTGTGCCTCAGTTTCATTGTTTATCATTACAATTTTCCACAGGACTGGATAAGACTGGTGCTCAAGTCTGTATCTCAACATGTTGAGCTAGAGTTCTGATAAACCTGCCACAGTCAGTCCCACACCTGGAGAGGCAGAATTCTCTCTCTGTACTGCCGTGAAAGAACTGGTCTCCCAGAATCTTTACCACCTGCTTTTATTTAGCCTCAGACTTGGATCCCATATCCATTCAAATTGTTTACCACATAGGATGCTTAGGACAAAATTCTGCTCCAATTACACCAGCCCCATTTTTGTGCATCGTGTACTGGATGTTAAGTAGGTTACTGGGTTATTTCCCAACCTTTTTCTTCCAGTCTTTGTTTCTTACTATTCTGAATTGCCTAGCATTACTAAAATTATTTCCCAAATAAATTATAAGCCCTACCTACCATGGGCTAGACACCCTAGACATACCCTACTACCATTATACACAGTTCTAACTCTGTTTATGTGTCTGTCTCTCCTGCTAGTCTTGAACTCTGGATAGGGAGCTTTATTACTGTGCGTCCAAGAAAAAGTAGGAGCTTAATAAATTATTGCTAAACTGATTTAAATTTTAAGCTTGAAGAGAGGTGCTTGGCATACAAAGTAAATTAAACTTAAGCTCTTAATGGCTTATACCCAGGTTGGGGGGCCACAGGAACTGTCTGCTATGGTGGGCTGCATCAAATACTCAGAGCCATTTGTGTCTGGTCTGGAGAGAATACCTCAGGATGCAGAGCTAGAGAGATCCCTATGGATTGCAGGAGACAGAGAAATCTTCCTAAGGAGGTATATAAGCTGGCCTGCCCGGATCTCAAACCTCTTAATTCACTCAGAGCACCAAGGAGCTTGAGTTTCTTGTATATTATATTAGGCTGTTTTTGCATTGTTATAAAGAAATATCTGAAGGTGGCTAATTTATAAAGAAAAGAGTTTTAATTGGCTCACAATTCTGCCAGCTGTACAGGAAGCATAGCACCAGCAACTGCTTCTGGGGAGGCCTAAGGAAGCCTGTAATCATGGCAGTAGGCAAATGAGGAGCAAGCGTCTCACATGGCGGAAATAGGAGCAAGGGTGGGGGGAGGTGTCACACACTTTCAAACAGGCATATCTCATGAGAACACACTCATTATCACGAAGACAGCACCAAGCCATGAGGGATCTGCCGCCATGACCCAAACATCTCCCACCAGGCCCCACCTCCAACACTGAGGATTATAATTCACCACAAGATTTGGCAGGCATGTATATTCAAACTATGTCAGATATACTTCAAAATGCCACATTGATCCAGCAGTCAATATCTCTGCTAATCAAGAAAGGTAAGCCTAAGATAAATGTAGATGTGAAAGGATGAATTTGTTCTCCATTCTGTGCAGCTCACAAATAATTTTAGTAATTATCATATTATAGTACTAGTAGTAATTGTCATATTGTGTTTTATCTATTTACCCTTCTCCACCATTGAAGGAAAGGGACAGTGTTCAGCATAGACAAAGCCATAGTCCTTTGTAAGTATATAGTAAATATTGTTTAAAAGAATAAATGAAATTCAAACACTGATGATAAATTCAGTATGTGGAAAAATCAGACTGTTCTTTATTTTATAAAATAATTCAATAATAAATAAAAATAAATGCTTTTGCTATTACTTGTTTTAAAAATGGAGTCCTATTATTTAACATGCGTAAAGGATGGAAAAGGTAAACATGCTAACCTTACAATTAACCTAGATGCTGTTAATTAATAGAAAACTCAATTATAAGTTTCCTAGCTACCAAGGACTAAAAGCAGCATGATAGACTACACAACTCTATACAGGGCCAAATTAAATAACTTAATTGTTACCTCAGGGGGACAACATTTGGCAGAAGCAAGGGTGTGGTCATCAGTGATCTGAGAGAGTATTGCAGACTACCTCTGAACTACCAGGTTCCTATAATGAAATTTGTTCTTGTCTTGGTTTGGTTTGCAGTAATATAATTAAAGGTTTTCCTTAACACTTTTAGCTTTCATGTCTGAGGGTTAGCAGCTTGTTTAAACATTTGGTTTCGTTTGGAAGCCATCTGAAAGTTATCTAATCTATATTCTAGATGGCAAATATAATTTCTGGAAGATAGAATGCCAGAATTGATAACGTCAGTGTTCAGACTCGATCATAGACTATTTGAGCTGGTGTAATAGCTTATTCAATGGCCACTTATTTGTGAAACTAATCTTTTTATATGCCGTAGCTTTGTTGAATTGCAACTAATGGGATAAATTGGAAGGATAAGATTCATATCTAGTCTAGTGATCAGGGTACTAATTGTCATCCTCTTTTACACATTATTTATTCAAGATGGATATTTAGAAAATATGAGAGAAAATTTCTTCTTCTTGCCAGTGTAATTTTCTCTGAGCTGGTTTGTATCTGTGACTCAACTGTGAATAGAGGAAATACTGTGACATGGAGACAGACAGATTTGTTTCCATATCCAGACTACATCACTCACTAGTTGTATGATTGGGGAAGTCACTAAAACTCATTGAATCTTAGTTTCACCATCTGTAAAATCAGGATCAGAGTAGCTACTTTGCAGGGTTTTTGTGATGATTGAGTGACATCACATGTGATAATACATGTAAAGCTTCTAGTTCATGGCCTGACACAATAGTCGTGTAGCAAATGGTAGCTGCCAGGGTGGTGATGATGATTATCTATTAAACTGGTAGTTTAAACCTACTTCAAATGGTTGTTGTGTGATTTGAAAATGATAAAGCAAGAAAATGCTAAATAAATATGTTATTATTTAAATTCTTACATCTGTGTTTATAGCAGTTCTTATATACCTCTATTATAATAAGAGTTATTAAATTGCAGAGTAGTTAACTACCTACTTGTCTGTCTGCCCTACTACACTGAGAGCTTCTTCCAAGGGGGACTGTGTGACATATGTTCAAAAAAATGTGATAAATAAAGAATGAAGGTTTAATGTTTATCTTGAAACAACAACAGTAACAACCACTACTACCAGTATTACTACTGTTTGTTGAGGTATTTTTTTAGTTACCAAGAACTGTGCCTGCATTTTCACATATAATATTTAATTTTCATAAAAACCCTATAAGATTGTTATCCCTATTTTACACATGAAGAACCATAAGTTCAGAGTTGTTGTGATCCTGTTGACAAAACTAGTGTTTTCCTCATACTCTTTGTATTTCTTATGCCTTTTGTTGGAAGCAAACTTTATTCTTTCACTCAATTACTAAAAATTCTGAAATTGTGGGTTGGTTGTGGATGAATGAGAACTGTCTTTCTAAATCAACTGCATGTTTGTGTAATTGAAATATTTTCTGAACACATAAATGAAAAATAAGAGAGACATTTCAAAGAAACTATGATTATCCTATGACAGCAATGGAACAGCTACTAATAAAAGCAATGGGCATTTTAAAAGCAATTACATGGATGTGATGGAATGTTGTTTTTCTATCCCTGAGAGACATCTTGCCTGCATGCTGGGGACGGACTTGGGCACTAAGCAGGACACCCATTTGGCAGGGTACTTCTAAGTGAAAGGTGGAAAATTCATTTTCTAAAGAGGAGAGGGCAACATCAGGAAGGAAAAGGATATTATGCTGCTATTTCCATGGTCATATTAAAAACAAAGGCACATAAAATAGCATATCCAGGGTGAAAAAGTAATATACTTTCAAATAACTTAGCTAGAGCAAAGGAAAGGGTAGAATTATAACCACATAGGACTCACAGCAGGGCTAAGTTGGGTTTATTATTTGTTTAGAAGATTTTCAGGGCTCACCTTGTGTTCAGTATTTGTGTAAGTTCATATAAAGATATTTTATAAGGGAAGGGGCAACATTTATTTTCATTAAGCCAAACAATATGACTTTTTGCCTGTGGCTGTTGGGGGTTGGCAAGGGGTTGGGGAGATTTAAAATGATTAACGCATTTTCAAGTAGTTAGGGATGGGGGATTTTCTAAAACATCTTTATCTAATAAGGCCTCCTGAGATTACAAAAGCTTGTTAAGGCATATAGCAAATTTTGAGGCAGTTTATTAAAAATACATTTGCACAGTGTTCATATTGTGCTGCTATTGTTTGTGGAGACTGTGAGATAGAAACCTCTTCAGAATGTGTATGGAAATATGATACGTAAAATTTCCTGTTTAATTATGCAAGTGACACCCACACTTCTGACTACAGTGGAGCAATCAGAAGCTTAAGAGTCAGTCTTGTGATCAAATCCTGGTATAACTTAGTAGCTGCATGACCTAAGGGAGATACTTTGCTTTGTTCACATATAAACTGAGAAATAACAATATTTAATCCTTAGAGACTTTTAAAAAATAGATGAAAGGAGATCATGTTTGTACAATGATGCTAAGAATGGGGCCTGAAAATAATAAATACTCAATGAAAAGGAGCTCAATCTAGGCAGCTAGCTGGCACAATCTGGACAATGACCTGGAAAGAGAGTTATCTGGAAACCTATGGATGAATGTCACCACTATGACCACTAGCCAATCTCTCCCCGTCTTACACTTTTCACTTGAACATAAACCACTTTTTGTTTAATAGCTATTTATTGAGTATATTCTATATTTTATGTCCTGGAGATGTATATAGCAGTGATACACTGGGAATACCAATGACTCTCATGAAGTTTATTCTCTTGCATGGATTATTGTACCAGTCATCATATTGGTTTCCCTACCTTTAATTTGTCCCCTTCACATCTATTTTCCATCTAGTGTTAGTATGAGCTATTCAAAACATGAATCAGATTATGTTGATCCTTTTCTGAAAACCTATGTAAAGTTTTTCCTTACTTATAGGATTAATTGTCTTATTTGTAAACATGGTAGTTAAAATCTTAATAAAGTTCCCAGCTGACCACTTTTGCATAATCTCTAATCAGTCCTCAACTCATAATCCCCACTGGCCAATCTGCCCTTCTCTGATCAAGCCTTCACCATTGTTTGTCTTATCTCTGTGAATTGCACATTACCAGACTAGGCTAAACTTTGTTCTTCCCATACCATAATGTCCTCTATTAATGCACCCACTATTAAATATCTTTGCAACATAAATAGAAATAGAGTATCAAAAATGAGGGAGAGGAAGATACTTCTCCACCTTTCCCCCACTGTACTGTGTTATCTATATCTGGGTCCTTCATAGTAAATTTGATGTTGACAGAGGTCCAGCAGAGAGTGACAAGAATTGGGAGTAGAAATTATTTCTTTCAACCAAAATATAATTTAGGAAGAAAATTAAAGTTGGACAGATAGGAAGTTAGTACTTCATCTATATAGTTTCTTTACTTCTTTATCTGTTTCATTTCAAACTCATTTATGTGAAATGAGATGATATACATTTAATTTCTTAACCAAGTTAGAGATCAGTAATTATATGAGTTTTAAAATATTAAATTGGTGAAACATTTAAAATTACTGGAATATATGTGTTAGTGCTGGATTAAATGATTTCCAGGGTCCCCATGGGTGAACTTGCTGCTTTTCTTTTACACATGCCCTGGCATTTCTCCTACTAAGACTGCCTGCTTAGTTGTTCTGCCCAGCACTGACTCACTCCCTGCTTCTGGTAATGAAGATTCTCTTCATCTGGTTTTCTTGGAAAACACCTTCAGGTTTGGGTGGTGTGTTGTTTGTGTGTGTGTTTGCGTATATGCATGCCTACATGCATGTGTGGTTCCGGTAAGAGCTGGATTCTGACATATCACGAATAATTTTCTCTCCTTGGAAGCCAAGTCAGGCACGGCCCTGTTCTGGGTTTCTTTGGAACAATGATTTGAATTAATTTTATTTTTATAGCTTTAAATAAATATATTTAAGTAAATCTGCTCATCACTTATAAAACCAGCAATTCTGTGGGACAAATGCACTATGGTAAGGTGAGAAGATAAAGATCTCTTAGAGTGAAGTAAATTCTTGGATCCCCTCTGTGTTAGACAACAACCAAGAATGCATCTTCTCTGAGACAGGCATCATGTGTCCACAGAAGGGGCAGCTGTGGTAAACTCCTTGTTCTAGAAAATACATTTTGAATTCCTTGAACTTCTAGCTTTTCAGTGCCTGTTGTCTGAGAGCTGCCTGCAAGGTGGGAGAAGCTGGGCTGTGGGTGGAGGTGATAGGTTGGGGAGTACTGCTGATAGGGTATGACCTAAGGCTTCATCAAAGGCAGACCAAGCAGGCAAGGTCACCTACAAGGAGAATAAAAATCATCAGAATCATTAAGAAAAAAAATCAATTTTTAGTGTGACAGTATAGCCCAGGTAGAAAAGCATGGGCTTTCAAGTCAGAGAGATGGTATGTTTTCTAAACTGACTCTACCACTTCCTTCTTGAGTGATTTGGGGCAAAATACCAAACCTCTCCTAGCCTCAGTTCTCAGTTTCCTCATCTGTAAAACTGAGTTAACACCATAACTAACTCATAGGCATATGATAGTTGTAAGAATTAAATGAAATGTATATATAATACATATAATCCCTCTCAAGAAGCCATGGAGCAAGCTACGTATTCTAAAAGTATAGCTGTTATTATTGTTATTATAATTAATTATACAAATGTAAAATGAGAAGTAAGAGTTGAAGTAAAGGATAATATAGAGTGAAAGACAATATCAATAGCATGCATGGCAAAGTTAGTGGCTAAAAGAATCAAGAGCAGGAATGAGGTTGAGTGGAGTAACTCAGCACTTTGGGAGGCTGAGGTGGGAGGATCGCTTAAGCCCAGGAGTTTAAAACTAGCCTGGGCAACATAGGGAGACACCATCTCTACAAAAAATTTAATTTGCCAGCCATGGTGGTATGTGCTATAATATCAGCTACTTGGGGGGCTGAGGTGGGAGGATCACTGGACCCCGGGAAGTCAAGGCTGCATTGAGCTGTGATCAAGTATGTACTCCAGCCTGTGCAACAGAATGAGACCTTGAAAATAAAAAGAAGAAAGAAAGAAAGAAAGAAAGAAAGAAAGAAAGAAAGAAAGAAAGAAAGAAAGAAAGAAAAGAAAGAAAAAGAAAGAGAGAAAGAAAGAAAGAAAAAGAAAGAAAGAAAAGAAAGAAAGAAAAAGAAAGAAAGAGAAAGAAAGAAAAAGAAAGAAAGAAAAAGAAAGAAAGGAGATACTCAGTGAATGGTGAATGTATGTCTACAGAGCTGTGTGGTTTTTGGCTCTTGTTTGGAATGGAGCATCAACTCAATGGAGCACCATCCTGGCTTTTGATCCTCCCTCAAAGGAGCATCATTCTGCTTTTTGATCTGCCGCAGTCCTTTCCAGATGTGTTGTGCCAGTCAGTCAGTTCTGCTAAATCAGGTAGGGTAAGAGAATTTGGATTCTGCCACTGATAGACTTCCAATGACAGGATCATCATCCTGAGACTGCATTATAGTTCGCTCCTGCCCAGAGCCTCCTGAGACCATTTCTAAATAGTCTTTTTTTAAAAAAGCTATTTGCCCTAATCACATAACAATACCTGCAGAAATTATGCTAGAATTTTATTTTCTTCTAAGAATAGTGCATTCATCTTGAGATCATAAGCTCTCCCCAGATTGGGGAATCAAGCGGAAAAAACAATCCATCAAATAGGTTTGTTCCCTCAGTTCCCATTCCGCCCACCTGGTTCCTACCTCCTCTCCTCTCCTCTCCTCTCCTCTCCTCTCCTCTCCTCTCCTCTCCTCTCCTCTCCTCTCCATCTAAAGTCTAATGCTCAGAAAGTTCTTTATAAAGTTTTCACCCATTGGTCCTAGTCCTATTTGGGATACCTATTACTTTTTCAATTATTTCTACTCTTTCCAGAATGTACTGGCCTCCAGACTCATCTCTATGCTGATACTCCTTTACTTGATTTTTTTGTCAGTGACGCAGGTGCAGTGTATGGCCCAAATGCAGATAACAAATTCCTAAAGCCTACTCACTGGGGGAAGGGTGAAGCAGAACCTTCATTTTCTTCATCCTATACACTCTATTTCTATTAATGCAGCAAAAGAATATGTATAAGGATAGTGTCAGGGAAGGGGTTTGTGTTTGGAAAGGGTCAAAAGCAGGTTTGCCTTAACTGAAAAGACAGTTTTTATTGGAGAGAAATGTAATGAAGAAAAGTAGGCAATGGAGGAAGTAATAATAATAACAGCAATTATAATAATTGTATTAGACCTTCATTCCTAAGGCTCTGCCCCTTTATAGGGCCATCCCAGTAGTTAGAGGGTTTATTTTTTGTTTTGTTTTGTTTTTGTTTTTGTTTTAATTTCAGAACCAGTTGTTGTAATTCAGTATATTTATCCCAGTCTCAGTTAAGGGAGCTAGGCTGAAAACAGAGGAATAGAAAAGCTGATTGTGAACTCCAAAACTTTCTCCTTCCCCCAAACACATACAGATTGCCCCTCTTCCCAACAGTTCTAGACTTTTCTTTGCCCACTTCTCTCAACTGAGGTACTGAAGTGATTTTGAAACTTTTCTAAACTTGACCTGTATTCATTTTTGGCTAATGCCAAAACTTATTTCCTAAATCTTCCTTCTTATTCCCCTTGGCTAATGCTGACATGATCTCCTTTTTCTGCCAAATCAAGTTTATTTTTCTAGCAGCTTTGCTCCATGGCTAAATCAGAGCAAAGATTAGGAGAAACCTAGAATTGTCTCCTAATGTGAAGATATTGGGTCCCTGGAAGTTTGTGGAGACCTAGGAATTCAGTTATAGCATCATCAGAACAATAAGCATCTGTGAAAGTCTTTTCCATTTATAAGATACTTTTCCAAAATGTCATTTATTTATAATTTTACAATGTATTAACATTATGCAACAGATATTTCAGAAACATAATTTGTGAAAGGAAACATTAAAAAGCTGTTAGGGTCACCTATTACCACCCCTTTTCTTTTCAGACATGGAACTTGAGCCCACAGAGGAACATAATCATACTACTAGGATATGCTGGAACTGGGGCTTGTACCAGAGTCTTTTGACTCCTGGTCTAATGCTCTTTTAAACAGGAAGCTTACCTACTTACACTCCCACACCACTTTTCTAGTGAGACCAACCCAGGGTCCAGGGGTAGGATGGAGTATTTATACTGCACATACCTATAGTTTGCTTACACATTCAATCAGAGGAAGCAGGCATACACTTAGTTTCTACAGAGTCAAAGTGTTTTCCAGCATCTAGGAGGAACAAGACCGTTAAGTGAGAATCAATAGCAGCTAAAAATAGATGGATGGAGGTCATTTAAGGGGCACAGGGAACAATGAAGAAGAGGAGCAACCTTATTTAAAAAGGAAAGATTCTATGCTGCCCTCCTCTGTGTCCTTGAAAGAGGAAATATGGGATTTCCAAAGAGTCACTTTAGCAATAAATTAAAGCCATGTGGGGAATCAATAAGAAATGAAATTTGGGAAGCTATTTAATCAAAACCCTAGTTTGATAAGGAGATAAGAAGCACAGGACAGATGGAGTTCGTCTAGACTATGGTTTATAGCCCACCATCTTGATGCTCAGAGCACAGAAGAGCCAGCTGACACAAAATCAGTATATCTTCTCTGAGTAGTTGTACCCAGGAAGAAGGAAACAATCATGTGATAAAGCATCAGGAGACAACAACTGCCAATCACTAGCTGTATGACCCTGGGCAATCATTTTGCCTCTCTGAATCTATGATGTCATTAGAAAAGCTGTACAGATATAAGTCCCATTGGTGATGAGTGCTCACATCTGAATAGCACTCATAGCTCATCAAATACTGTGACATGTTCTCAAGTGTCTGTGCAGGGGTTTCAGAGTTAAGGGACCTGGAATCATATTCTGAGTCTGTCACTAGCTGTAAGTGGGTAATATCATTTGTCCTTACCCATAAAATGTAGCATCTAGGGAGGACCAAATAAGAGGAAAAAATGTGAAAGTGTGTTTTACATTATGAAGTATCAAACATGAATGCCTAGTTAATGTATTCATAATAACGATTATCATTTCCCTTATCTTGGGACTAGTCACAGAGGCTCACACCTGTAATCCCAGCACTTTGGGAGGCCAAAGTGGGAGGATCACTTCAGGCCAGGAGTTTTAAACTAGCCTGAGCAACATAGAGAGACTTCATCTTTACAAAACAATTTTTTTTTTTCTTAACTAGCCAGGTGTAGTGCTGCATGTGTATAGTCCCAGTTACTCCAGAGGCTGAGGAGGGAGGATTGCTTGAGGCCAGGAATTCAAGGCTGCAGTGAGCCGTGATTACACCACTGCACTCCAGCCTGGATGACAGAGCAAGAACTTGACTAAAAAAATAAACAATAAAAAATAGATAAATAGTTTCCAGTTATCTATGGAATAAAGGTTATACTCCTTTACATAGCCTACACAGCCTGCCAAGATTTGGTTCTTTAGATTATGCTCCACCAACAGTAAACTGCATACAGTCCCCTCAGTCCACAAGTCTGTCTCCTACTTGGCCCCTTTATTCAAGCTGTTCTATTTGAAATGGCTTCTATATTCCTACCTGTTAATACTTTCTGCCCTGAGGGCCCTGTCTACCTTGCTTTTCTCCCATGATGCTTTATCCATTTTCTTTATGGTTGTGGCGTCAGTGCTGACATATAGTGAGTGTTTCAAAAAAATCTTTAGTGTGACAAAAAGCACATAAATTTACCCTTTTAACAAGTTTAAGTGTACAATATAGTATTTTTAACTACATGCATATTGTTGTACAACATATCTCTAACACTTTTCTATCTTGCATGACTTGAAACTCTTTTTTTGTTTTTTGAGACAGAGTTTCGCTCTTGTTGCCCAGGCTGGAGAGCAATGGCACAATCTCGGCTCACCTCAGCCTCCACCTCCCAGGTTCAAGTGATTCTCCTAACTCAACCTCCTGAGTAGCTGGGATTACAGGCATGGGCCACCATGCCCAGCCAACTGAAACTCTTAAACCATTAAACAACAACTTCCCATTTCCCCTCCCTTCAGCCCCTGACAACCATCATTATATTATCTATTTCTATGAGTTTGATTAATTTAGATTCCTCATATAAGTAGAATCATCCAGTATATGTCTTTTTGTGGTTGGCTTCACTTACCATGTCCTCAAACTTCATCCACACTATAGCATATGGCAGGATTCCTAACTTTTTTAAGGCTAAATAATATTCCATTGCATATATACTATATTTTCTTTATTCATTCATTTATTCATGGATATTTAAGGCTTCTACAACTTGGCTCTTGTGTATATAGTGCTGCAGTGAATGTGGTATACAAATATTTCTTTGAGATCCTATTCTCAATTATTTCGGGTATAGATCCAGAAGTGGAGTTCCTGGATCATACTGTAGTTCTACTTCAAATTTTCTGAGGAACCTCCATACTGTTTTCTATCGAGGCTATATCATTTTACAGTCCCACCAACAGTGCACAAAAGTTCCATTTTCTCTACATTCTTACCAAAATTTATTCTTTCTGTTTGTTTCTTTTTTTTTTTTTTTGATAGTAGCCATCCTAGTGGGTGGAAGGTGATGTCTCATTGTGATTTTGATTTGCATTTTTCTGATGATTAGTGATGTTGAGCATCTTTTTATATGCTTGCTGGCCATTTCTATATCTACTTTAAAGAAATGTCTGTTCAACTCTTTTTCCCATTTTAAAATCAGATTATTTGTTTTGTTTTTGATTTGTAGGAGTTCTTTATATATTCTGGATATTAACCCCTCATTGATATTTTGTTCACAAATATTTTCTCTCATTCTGTAGGTTGCCTTTTCACTCTGTTGGTTGTTTCTTTTGCTGTGTAATAGTTTTAATCTTTGATGTTGTCTCATTTGTCTATTTTTGCTTTTTTTGCTGTGCTTTTGATGTCATATCCAAGAAAGCATTGCCTATGGCAATGTATAAAGCTTTTCTACTGATTCTTCTATGAGTTTTATAGTTTAAGGTCTTATATTTAGGTCTTTATCCCATTTTGAGTTTCTTTTTGTTTTAAGATAAGGTTCCATTTTTTTCAATGTGGATATCCAATTTTCCCAATACCAATTGTTGAAGAAGCTATTCTTTCCCCACTGTGCAGACTTGGCACACTTGTCAAAGATCATTGACCATATATGTGAAGGTTTATTTTTTGGCTCTCTATTCTGTTTCATGGTCTACATGTCTGTCTTGATGCCAGTACCATACCTCTTTGATTACTGTAGCTTTGTAGTATGTTTTTCACTCAGGAAGTGTGAGGTCTCCAGCTTTGCTCCTCTTTTTCAAGATGGTTTTGATCATTTGAGGTTCTTTGATATTCTATATGGGCAAATATATATATTGCAAATAGCGAAATGCTCCTGGAATAATGAATGAATTATTCATCATTAAACAACTATTGATTTCCATCTAAGTTCTCATTTCAATTGAACATCTTATCTGAGTTTTATATTTTAGCAATAGCTCTTCTTAAATACAACTCTCACTCACAATGTTTCATTTATACAAACGCAGCTGTGCATTAGCAGTTATTCTACTGCTAAGGAGAGCCCTTTGATGGATAGCATCTCCTGAGGGAATTAAAGTGTTACTGTACTCTTCTGTTGGTTGTTACTATAATGAATTCTCATTCATTGTACTTTTTTTTTTGGTACTCATTGGTTGCTAATGAGATGGGATGGGATTTTCCATCTCTCCCACACTCATTTCGTATATACATGTGCTCTCTTTCTGGCTGGGAATAGAGCACAAATTCAGGAAACTGTTATCAAATTTAAATTTACCAAGTCTAACCAGCCCTTTGGGAAGGCAGGAGGGAGAGCAAATCCTCAGTGTAAATTGCTGAGGATTACTTAATTAAAAAGTTGTAAAATTAGATTCAACTTTATACAAGAAATTTCAAACAAATTTATTTGGTAACAAAGCTGTAATGACTTCTTGAATGACATTTAATTTTTGTTTTTTAAAGATCTGGCATGAAATGTCATTGCATTTTAAATAAAATTTAAGAAGCAATTTCTTATTTGTTGAACACAGATGTTTTTGCACTTCAGTACAGTCACACACATTCTAAGAAATTGCATTAAGCTTTATTCATTGCACATTAAAAAGGACTTTGACAAAGTGGAACATGACCAGAATTGTAAAATATTGTGAAAGTTTTTTGACCTGTCAAGAATTCAAATCCTAACACTGTCATTTTTAAGCTACGCCACCTTGAGCAACTCACTAAGGTTTCTGATATGTCAATTCCTTATTTTTAAATTAGACTAATACGTAAGGTGCTCCCCAGCAAGGGAATAAAATGAACTCCAGCCAAGTTAAGAGAATATGGAGTGAACAGAAAGTTAACAGGGGATGCAGGACCAAGTCCAAGAAGAGGAGTTGTTGCCCAGAGTGCTTCCAGATCCAAGGAAAATGGGAAGGGGATAAAGGTTCAAAAGTGAGAATGGAGATGGTGGATCTTTCAAGCCCATCTAATATAGAGCCCTTTTCTCTAAGGGAATATATCTGTGCTATCAGGATATATAGATTTAGTCTCCCTCTTTTTTCCTGATATCCATCTCCTAAAACCGTTGGACTATCTGGGGCAATAAGAATAAGAGTGCCTTTTGTATGTTAATGAGGTGGCTGACAGCACCTAGGTAGCTTCCAAATGGGGGATGTTCACAGGAAAGATCAAGTTGCAATTAGAAGGTTGGGCTTTTTAACCCCACCCCCCAACCTCCAGGGAGGGGAGAGGGGCTGAAGGTTAAGCTGAGCACCAATGGCTAATGATTTAATCAATCATGCCTATGTAATGAAGTTTCCATAAAAATCCAAAAAGGCTGGGTTCAGGGAGTTTACAGATTGCTAAGCACATGGAGGTGGCCCTGCATCCCTTCCCAAATGCCTTGTCCTATGCACCTCTTCCATCTGTCTATTCATCTGTATCCTTTGTAACACCCGTTATAATAAATGAGTAAATCTGTTTCTCTCAGTGCTGTGAGCCACTGAAGCAAATTAACTGAACTCAAAGAGGGTTTATAGGAACCTTGGTTTATAGCCAGTCAGTCAGAAGTGCAGGCCACAACCTGTGCTTTCGATTGGCATCTGAAATTAGAGGGGCAGTCTTGTAGTACTGAGCCCTCAACCTGTGGGATCTGACACTATCTTCAGATAGTATCAGAATCAAATTAGAGGACACCTAGCTGGTATTTACTTGATAATCCATTGCAGAATTGATTGCTTCCTTGATGTATGTAGGGGTAAACCCCTAGACAGCTGTTGTCAAAAGCATTCTGTGGAATGAGAGTAAAGTAGGAAGAAACACAGTTTAGGTTCTTTTGGTTTTTTTACAAAGTATCTGAAATGAGCTTGGGGTAGGAAGATAAGGGTAGAAGTGGGAAAGTGGGAAAACATGGAAAGGAGAAGATCAAGGAAAGACAGTACCCACACAAATTAAGTGGTGAGCAGGCCCTAGGCAGAAATCTGAGCAGATGCAGGAGGCACCCTGCCTGCCTTGTTTTCATGCCTTTACCCAAGGTAAAAGAATCCTGAGTACACAGGAACTGCAGAAATGACCATGTCTCCCCATGGAAGTCTTCTAAGGAGGCTGCTTTTTTAGCGTTTCACCAGAGCTTGTCATATCTGCCCTCCAGCATCAAGTAGTCACACTTGCCTCCCCACATATCATGGCTATGGGACAGGGATGCAGCTCTGAGGAGGAGCAAGGGAATAGACTGAGATAGCTGTTTATAACAAACAGCAAGGGAAAGACCAGGGTCAAGACAAGGACTAATTGCCAACTACAACACTGGATGTAGGAGTTTTTAATGCAGTATCTGGATCAGAGAGAGTTGAACATCATGGTTAAATATTAACCAGCCAAGGAGAACTGAACTAATTAGTCTGGAGAGAAGGTTCAGGGAGGAGAATGTTAAAAATTCTAAAAGCCAATTATGGTGCCAGGAGACTAAGTGTGTTTTGACTGTTTCAAGAGAATAGGACTAGACTAGTAGTCTACATAAGAAAGCAGATTTTACTTTTCTATAGGGATAAAAATGAGATCTTCCCAGTAATGAAGAAGGCTGTCTCAATGAGTAGTGTAAGGTTCCTGCCACTAGAAAGGCACATACAGATGCCGTACACGGTTTTTCTGTTTAAGAGGACAGCCAAATGAAATAATTTCTGATGCCCCTTTCAGTAATCCTGAGACTTTCTATCATTTGGAGGGATACTTCCTGCTCTCCTGTTTTCATAGATCTTCTTAGTTTGTAATCTTCAGATACTTTCTATAGAGAAAATATCAGATACAAAAGTAGTCTTGCTGCTGATAATATAGCATTGTGGTTAAAAGTTTGATCTTTGAAATTAAACAACTATAGGTTCAACTCTGTATTCTGTCATTTTTAGCTCTTGTAAGTTGTGTAACCTCTCTGCATCCGTTTCCTCATCAGAAAAATGGGCATAATAATGGTACTTTTAGTAGCTGTAAGGATTAAATATGATGACAGATATTTAACACTGGTCCCGGCATATAGGAAGCACTTAATAAATGTTAACAATGATGATAATGACAGAAGTGAAGTGAAGGACACAGAAGTGGAAGACAAAGCTGATGTTCATGATGTTGACAGTGGCAGAGTAACTTTTTTCTGTGTGCATGTAAACTGAGTTCTTATAGTTTTACAAATTCATACCAAGCACATATGTGCAGATTGGAATTTACTCTAATTAGTTGTTTGTCTCCTCAGAAATAGGTAGACGGGCCAAATATAATAGGAGAAGACAAAAAGCAAGGCTGAAGGCTTAGAACTATATTTATTCCTTAGGATAGGCCAAGAAACTTAGAAGAAATGGTCAGGTAACTAGAAAAAAAAAAAACGCAAGTTTTTAAAAACTTATCAAAAAACCGTGATATGGCAAACAATGCTTTTCCAGCATACCTCACCCACTTGGAAGAAACAAAATAGCTTGTAAAGATTCACACCGTTGGCCGGGTGTGCTTCACGCCCGTAATCCTAGCACTTTGGGAGGCTGAGGTGGATGGATCACCTGAGTTCAGGAGTTCTAGACCAGCCTGGCCAACATGGTGATACCCCATCTCTATAAAAATACATACCTTAGCCAGGCATGGTGGTGTGCACCTGTAACCCCAGCTACTCGGGAGGCTGAGGCAGGAGAATCACTTGAACCTGGAAGATGAAGGTTACAATGAGTCAAGATTGTGCCTCTGCACTCCAGCCTGGGCTACAAAGCAAGACTCCATTTCGAATAAATTAATTAATTAAAAAAGTAAAATAAAAGATTCACATCATGAACTTTTATCCAAGAAATAATGTAGGAATTTGACAGAAAAACAAAAGAAAACTTCAGACACTGGGAAAGAGAAAGTGGGAAAGTAGTCTGCATTGTATAATCCAGCAGAAAACTGCGAGTGAAGCCCCAATACGAGAGAGGGAGTGTGAGTATCCCTCTGTCATGCACCTTTCCACTGGGCAACTAAGCAATCCAGGCCACAGGAGAGCACCTTGACCCTCCCAATCCCTGGATCTAACTTGGGAAGCAATCAGAAGACTGTGAGAAGACATGGCGCCAGAAAGCACACCAAATGTTTTCCCAGAGCTGGGTGTGGACACCATTCTCAATCTCAGCTCATAACAAGCTGGGTGGCATACTATGACCTAGCAGCAGCAGCATCCACTGGCATTAGGAAGCCTCAGGCCAGGGATTGGAATATTGTGTCTTGAATGGGGGAGGGGCTCCCACAGCCAGAACCAAGAAATGAATATAGTGTGGACTCTAGCCATGGATGATGAACTTGGGCTCCCTTTCATGGGACTAGAGAAGGAAGATATTTGCCTGAGAGGCATGGTTTTGGCCTGGGTAGCAAGTTTTATGGTCCAGGGCAGCCTTGTAGACTGAAAGTAAACAATGTGTGACTTTTTACTGAATATCCCGAAAAGCTCCCTTGGTCAGGACAGGTGATTGAGCCCCACTGCATCTTGAGAGGGAAGGAAGGTGGGTTCCAGTCCCAACTGCCTGGCTTAAAGGCCAGCAATACCTGTTCCCGCCCAGGCCGGCACCTCAGCACAGCAGCATTGTCTGTAACACCTGAGTACCTTTCCTGGTTAACGGGGATTTAGCATAAACTCTACTGCTACCCCTGTAACAAACTCTTAACTGCAAGAACCACCTACTGGCCTGGAGGTTGACCTGCACAGCCTAATACAACATCTGCCAACACAAAGTGTACCATGGTTGGGAAAGAGATAAGTTTCTCTTGACCTCTGCTACCACTGTTGCTCACACAACCCCAGCTACTCAGGAGGTCATGAGCCTGCTCATGGTAAACCACGAGCATGATACAACACTCATAAAACTGGCATTTGGGAAAGCCACCACAGTAAAGCTATTTATAAACAAGGAAATTATACAGAGTTCTTTGCCACTGAATGTACAACACAGAAACAAAGCCAAAAGGCCCTACCAACATACATCGGGCCAGGCACAGTGGCTTGTGCCTGTAATTTCAGCACTTTGGGAGGCTAAAGCAGGTAGATTACTTGGGCTCAGAAGTTTGAGGCCAGACTGGAAAACATGACAAAACCCCATCTCTACTAAAAAGACAAAAAAAATGCTGGGCATGGTGACGTGTGCTTGTAGTTCCAACTACTTGAGAGGCTGAGATAGGAGGATTGCTTGAGCCTGGGGAAGTCAAGGCTGCAGTGAGCCAAGATCATGCCACTGTATTCCTGCCTGAGCAAAAGAGTGGGATCCTGTCTCAAAAACAACAAAAACCAATGGGCAAAAGAGTGAGATCCTGTCTCAAAAACAACAAAAACAAACAAAAAATACATTATAATAACATCCTCAAGACAAAAAAGTCTCACCCCACCAAAAGTAAATTCAAAAATAAGAAGCTATATAGTTATGATTTCTTCAGTTATGACAAAAAAAGTCTCACCCCACCAAAAGTAAATTCAAAAATAAGAAGAAATAGTTATGATTTCTTCAGTTATGAAGAAATCAATGTAATACAGAAAGTATGAAAAAACAAGGTATTATAACACCCCCAAAGGAAACAGTAATTTTCTAGTAATGGATCCTAACCAAAAGAAATTCTGAAATGCCAGATAAAAAACTTATTGATTTCAGAGAATCTCAATGAGGTGCAAGAGAAATCTGAAAACCAATACAAAGAAATCAGAAAGTCAATTCAGAATATGAGTGAGAAATTTACCAAGGAGACAGATATATTCAAACAAACAAACAAAACTTCTGAAAATGAAAAATTCATTAAGGAATTACAAAATGCAGACTTAGACCAAACAGAAGAAAGACTCTCAACTTGAAGACAGGTTTTTTAAATTAATCCAGTCATACAAAATTTTAAAAAAGAATGAAAAAGAATAAACAAAGCCTTGAGAAGTATGCAACTATATAAAGTGACCAAACTTACTGTATTAGTCCATTTTCATACTTCTGTAAAGAAGTACTTGAGATTGGGTAATTTACATAGGAAAAAGGTTTAATTGACTCACAGTTCCATATGGATGAGGAGGCCTTAGGAAACTTACAATCATGGTGGAAGGCAAAGAGGAAGCAAGGACCTTCTTCACATGGCGGCAGGAGAGAGAAGAATGAGGAGCGAAGTGAGAAAAGCCCCTTATGAAACCATCAGATCTTGTGGGAACTCACTCACTATGACAAGAACAGCATGGGGGAAATTGTCCCCATGATCTAATCACCTCCTACCAGATCTCTCCCTAGATACATGATGATCGTGGAGATTACAATTCAAGATGAGATTTGGGTGGGGACACAGCCAAACCATATCACTTACAAATCTTCAGTACTCCCAAAGAAGAAAAAAAGTTTAGAAAGCTTATTTAGGAAAAGAATTGACAAAAATTTCCCTAGTCTAGCAAGAGATTTAGATATCTAGATACAAGAGGTCCAAGATCACCCGGAAAATACATTGCAAAATTGACTTTATACAACATGTAGTCATCTGAGTGTGTAAAGTCAATATGAAGAAGAAAAATCTAATATCAGCAAGAGAAAAGCATCTAGTCACCAATAAAGGAAACCCCATTACACTAAGAGCAGACTTCTCAGCAGACACCTTACAAACCAGAAAAGAATGGGATCCCATTTTCAAAGTGCTAAAAGAAAAAGAGTGTTAGTCATGAATTTTATATCCAACTAGAATAAACTTCATAAATGAGGGAGGAATAAAGTCAATTCTAGACAAACAAATACAGAGAGACTTCATCATCACTAGACCAGTCCTACAAGAAATGCTCAAAGGAGTTCTAAACATGGAAATAAAAGATCAATATTCACATTCATAAAAACACATCAAAGTATAAAACATGAAAGGTCTTATAAAACAATTACACAAAAGAGGAAGAGAAAATAATCAAATGGAAACATAACAGAACTCCGCAAAACCACAAAGACAAACAGACATAGGAATAAAAAGAGGCCAAGTGTGGTGGTTCACACCTTCAATCTCGACATTTTGGAAGGTGGAAGTGGGATGATCACTTGAAGCTAGGAATTCAATACCAGCCTGGGCAAAAAAGCAAGACTCCATCTCTGCAGAAAAAAAAATTAAACAATTAGCCAGTTATGGTGGTATATGCCTGTAGTACCAGCTACTCCATTGCTGAGGTGGGAGGATCAGTTGAGCCCTGGAGTTAAAGGCTATAGTGAGCTATTATCACACCACTGCAGTCTAGCCTGGGAGACAGAGAAATACCCTGACTCAAAAAAAAAAAAAACAGATCAATGATTCCCAATTATCTATGAAATAAAGATCATACTCCTTTACAAAACCTACACAGCCTGCCAAGACTTTGTTCTTTAGATTCTGCTCCACAAAAAAGTAAACTGTGTACAGTCCCCTCAGTATACAAGTCTGTCTCTTACTTGATCTCTAACTTGGCTGTGGGGAGCTATAATCAAGCCATTGCACTCCATCCCACCTGGGTGACAGAGCAAGACTCTGTGTCTAGAAAAAAAAACAAACAAGAAACAGAATCTACAAAATATTAGATAACAATTAACAATATTACAGGAACAAAACCTCACATATCAATATTAACCTTGAATGTAAATGGATTAAATCATCCACTTAAAAAATATAGACTGGATGAATGGAAATAAAATCATGATCCAATTATATGCTGCTTACAAGAAAGTCACCTCACTTGTAAAAACACATATACACTGAAAGTATAGGGGTGAAAAACATATTCTATGTAAATGGAAACCAAAAATGAGCAGGAGAAGCTCTTCTTATATCAAATAAAACTGACTGTAAATCAAAAATGGTAAAAAAAAAGACAAGAAAGGTCAGTATATAATGATAAAGAGATCAATTCAAAAACAGAATATAACAACCCTAAGTATATATGCACCTAGTACAGGAGCACCCAGATTCATAAAACAAGTATTACTAGACATAAAGAAAGATAACCAGCAATATAATAATAATGGAGGACTTCAACATCCTACTAACAGCAATAAACAGACCATTGAGACAGAAAATCAACAAAGAAACATGGACAAAAAATGGACTTTAGACCAAATGGACCTAACAGACATTTGAAGAACATTTGATAAAACAATTGCAGAATGTATGTTTTGATCATCAGCCCATGAAATATACTTACTCTCCATAGACCATATATTAGGTCACAAAACAAGTATCAGTAAATTTTTTAAAATGGAAATTATATCAAGTGTCTTCTCAGACCACAGAAGAATAAACTTAGAAATCAATACCAAGGCTGGGCACGGTGGCTCACGCCTGTAATCCCAGGACTTGGGGAGGCCAAGGCGGGCAGATCACGAGGTCAGGAGATTGAGACCATCATGGCTAACATGGTGAAACCCCATCTCTACTAAAAAAAAAAATACAAAAAATTAGCCTGGCACGGTGGCGGGCACCTGTAGTCCCAGCTACTCTGGACGCTGAGGCAAGAGAATGGCATGAACCCCAGAGGCGGAGCTTGCAGTGAGCAGAGATAACGCCACTGCACTCCAGCCTGAGTGACAGAGTGAAACTCCATCTCAAAAAAAAAAAAAGAAATCAATACCAAGAAGAACTCTCAAAACTGTGCAAATACATGGAGATTAAACAACATGCTCCTGAATGATCTTTGGGTCAATGATGAAATTAATATAGAAATTAAAAAAAAATTTTGAAATGAATGAATATGGAAACACAATATACTAAAATCTGTGAAATACAGCAAAAGTGGTGATAAGATGGAAGTTTATAGCATTGTCTAAATCAAAAAATAGATCATAAATTAACAATATAATGTTACCTCAAGGAACTAGAAAAACAAGAACAAACTAAACACAAAGCTACCAGAAAAAAAAAAGAAATAACAAAGATCAGGGCAGAATAAAATGAAATTGGGACCAAAAAAATACAGAGCATTATGAAATGAAAAACTGGTTCTTTAAAAAGTTAAAATTGATAAACTGCTAGCTACACTAACCAAGAAAATGAGAAGACACAAGTAACATAATCAGAAATGAGAAAGGTATTACAACTGATAACATAGAAATACAAAAGATAATTAGAGAATACTGTGGACAAACTCTCACAAACTAGAAAACATGGAGGAAATGGATGAATTTCTGGAAGCATACAACCTCCTAAGATTGAACCAGGAAGAAATAAAAATCCTGGACAGACCAATAATGAGTAGGAAATTGAAGCAGTAATAAAAAGAGCAGTGAGTTTAACGTCAGGTACTCTGGGTTGTGGTGTTACCTCACCAACTTATCATTGTTGCATCTCAGGTTTTTTTCATAATAGTACAAGGGCTGTTGTGAGTATCAAGTAGTGAAAGAAGGTGTCTTTTAGAGCTTTGGTTCTGTCTGTGTAAGGTTACTATTCATATTAGCATAGTTGGCTAATACTAAAATGCCCTTTTACAAAGGACATGAACAGACGCTTCTCAAAAGAAGACATACAAGCCAACATGTTTATAAACATATGCTTATAAGCTGGGCATGGTGGCTTATGCCTGTAATCCCAGCACTTTGGGAGGCTAAGGCAGGCAGATCACCTGAGGTCAGGAGTTTGCGACCAGCCTGGCCAATATGGTGAAACCCTGTCTCTACTAAAAATACAAAATTTAGCTGGGTGTGGTGGCGTGTGCCTATAATCCCAGCTACTCTGGAGGCTGAGGCAGGCGAATCACTTGAACCCAGGAGGCAGAGGTGGCAGTGAGCCAAGATGGTGCCATTGCACTCCAGCTTGGGCAACAAGAGTGAAACTCCATCTCGAAATAAATAAATAAATAAATTTATATGTTGACATACAAGTATATAAATAAATATAAAACAAATATATAAAACATGTAAGCAAATTTATAAAAAATACTCAACATCACTAATCATCAGAGAAATGCAAATCAAAACCACAATGAGATACCATCTCATCCCAATTAGAATGGCTAGGATTAAAAAGTCAAAAAATAACAGATGCTGGTGAGGTTGCAGAGAAAAGAGAATAGTTATACACTGTTGGTAGGAATGTAAATTAGGACAGCAATTGTGCAAAGTGGTTTGGAGATTTCTCAAAGAACTTAGATCTACCACTCAACCCAGCAGCCACATTTCTAGGTATATAATGAAAGGAAAGTAAATTGTTCTACCAAAAATATATGTGCATGCATATGTTCACTGCAGCACTATTCACAATAGCAAAGACATGGAATCAACCTAGATGTCCATCAATGATGGATTAGATAAAGAAAATGTGATACATATAAAGCATGGAATACTATGTAGCCATAAAAAAGAACAACATCATCTCCTTTGCAGCAAGAGTGATGCAGCTGGGGGCCGTTTTCCTAAGCAAATTAATGCAGGAACAGAAAAACAAGTACCACGTGTTCTCACTTATAAGTGGGAGCAGACATTGAGTATTCATGAACATAAAAACGGGAACAGCAGATACTGGGGACTACTAGAGGGACAAAGGTGTGAGGAGGCAAGAGTTGAAAAACTACCTATTGGGTACTATGCTCATGACATGGGTGATGGGATCATTTATACCCCAAACCTCAGTGACAAGTAGTGTACTCATGTAACAAACCTGCACGTGTACTTCCTGAACGTAAAATAAAAGTTTAAAAGAAGTGCCCTTTCATTCATTTACTCAACAGATATTTATTACATACACATAGTATGCCAGCATTGAGAATACTAAACTGACTAAGACAAACTTAGTTGCTGTCATAATGAAGCTTTCCTGCATTATGGACTAAATGTGCATCTTGTGCTAGGTGATATAATTGGAGAAGTACACGGTGTGGTGGGAGAATCTGGAGGAAATGCCAAGTCTAGTCTGTTGGACAGTGGGAGACATTGATTTAGAGAATGTTTTGTAAGTGGAGACTTCGTCCTTCCCTTAATGTACAGGACCTTCTTTGTATCTGAGTTGACTGTTTAAGGAACTTTCCATTCCACCAGATAGCAAACTCTTTGAGAGGGCAGAGGCTGTTTCTGATTCATCTCTGTATCTCTCATGCATTGTGCTCAACACAAAATGTATACTTAACAATATTTGCTAAATTTAGTTGAGCAAAAGATGTCAGAGCATCCAATTTGGAACCCTTTATGGATATTTCCAGTCCAATTGAGAACAAAGGTTTTCATTTTCCTTGACATTAATTCCAAAAGAGGCAGGAGTTCCAGGCCTGTAAAACCACATCACATTTCTAGTTCTAGTGGGTCTCTTCTTCACTTCTCAGGAACACTTTTGTTTGTTTTATTCTGTTAATTATATACCCTAAGTGATTAGATCCAAAGTTAGCACATATAATATGTGTGAGCCTGTCCTTCCTGTACAATTCTAAGAACTTTGTGGAAACGGACAAAAACAGTGAAAGGAGGCTGGGAGAGGAAGGGAAGTTACTCTATAATCATATTATTGTTTTAATAATAGGTTTATAGAAATTAAGAGTGCAACTATTTTATTAATGGGACTTTTAATTACCCACCATGGTGAAGGGTGAGGCAAAATATCTCTCAGCCCCACTAATTAATATGGGTATTCAATGGCTGTTAATTAAGGACAAAGGAGACCAAAGGAACACAGTCCACCCTTTACTCTGATGAATGCAAAGTCAAACCAATAACTTATTTCCAAATTAACATGATTGATAAAAAGTTAAGCTCAGATCCAAGCCTTTTCCCTTCAGGGAACCATAATTTTCTTGTTTAAACAATATAATAAAGGACTCATCTGTGTACCTAGGAACAAAGCCCAGACCTGCAGGCCCTGAGGAGACAAGGGAGCTATAGATTATTTTGTGAGACCTGCATTTCAATAGGCAGCATTTCACAGGCCTTTTGTAGCCCTGCTTATCTTAGAAACTTTGTGTGCGGCTTTAGACTCATGGGCAGGCCCAGTCTTAGCCATGTTGTCTAGAGGAAACCACTTTTCTGGCCTCTAGTACATATACCCATTTGCCTCTGAAAACCCTTCCTTGCCTTACGTAGTTCTCTAAAGAATCACATAGAACAGGCTAGCAACCTGACTCTCTTGAAGAAATTGTGTTTACACATGCAATATGCCACAGCTAATATCTCTAGTCTTTGGAGGAAAAATAAAAACAAAGAATGCATTATTATAACAGGAGTGTCCTGTTGAAGGAAAGATCTTATGATATAGAGAAAAGAATATGGGTTTTAGAGTTAAACATTGATTTTATCCCTTAATAGTTTAGTGACCTTGGGCCTGGAGCCTTAGTTCCTCCATCAGTAAATTTTGGATATCATACCCACTTTTTCATACCCACCTGAAAAATTCTCATGAAAAAAGGTAATTAATGCAAAGTTCTCAGCAAGCAAAGCATTATCAGGATCTTGCCTTTTGTTCACAGTGCTTTTTAGTTGACAGTGGTTTGAGCCTCACTACAAACCAGTGAGGTAAGAAAACTAGGATGTATTTTTCTCTTTTTTCACTGATTAGGAAACTGATGACCAAATAGGATAAATACAAAAGAGGACATTTAATCTCTGAGCCTCAGCTTTCTCACTTATAAAATAGTCATATAATTATCCACCTGTTTGGATTGCAGTAAGGATCAAATGAGCTAAAGGTGGTGAATGTGCTATGTAAACCACTACTCAACAAACTCTATCAAATTATAGTTTGATATGTTACATTAAGGATCTGGCCAAGGTCATGCAGAGAGGAAACCAGCTGTTCATTCTTTTATTCATTCACTCACTCATCTGTTCAACACATCAGCCCTATCCTATGTACCAGGAACGAGGTGTTCATAGTCTACAAATAAAAAAGGATAATTCCAGACAACTATAAGAGGAGAAAGATTACTCTAGGTAGCTAAAAGGACATTATGAGAAGGAGGATTCTCTCTGATGGTCCAGTTTGCCAGACTATGGTTTGCTCTCCATTCCATACTGCCCTCAAATGTATGCCACTCATCTCCTTAGGAGCTTTCTATGGATGCTCACTGGCTGTGTGGTAACAAATACCTGGCTACATGCATAGCTACCCTCCTCTTTCCTTCTGGGCAGACATTGCTAATTGATCACAGTACTTCTTCCTGCTGAATCTGGATTCTGTCTCAGAAACCTTCTCAACATAGTGCTCTAGAAAGCAACTGCCAGTTGATCAGAGTTGGCCATAAAACCTATGACCCCCTGGAATAGTATTTCCACTGTGTTCTTTCTGATTTTACTCTTTGGATATTAACGAGAAAAGTGAAAACTTTGCACTCCTTCTAAACCAACCGGCATTAATATTTTATGAATTAGAAAATTAAAGCTCAGAGAGGTTAAGAGACTTGCTCAAAGTCACACATTTAGTAAATCTGGGGAGTGGGAATCAGTATTTTGATTCTGAATTCAATTGTCTTACTGATGTACCAAGTTGCTTTTAAATTTCATGCTCCCTAAGATCTGTGTGCTGCTCCTTTCAAGTAAGAAGCACCTTATCTACCTACCCACTTATTCATTTGTTTATTTGTTCATTCAAGAACTATTCAGCTACTAGGGGGATAGAGATTATTACTCAAAGGACATGTAATAATTGTCTGCAGTATATAATTAGACTATAATCTGTCTGAGGGCAGGGACTGTTTTTTGGTTCACCATTGAATCCCAGTGCTGAGCATAGTACAGTTACATATTATTTGTTTAATTAATCAGTAAATATTCTGTCTAGTGGGTGAGCAGCCAAGTAAATAGTCTATGACAATAAAATGTGCAATTGCCTGGCATAATCTCCAGCATTGTATAGGTGCACAGCATTTTCTAACTAACACTGAGCTCAGTGTGCTATGGGAACGCCCAGGAGAGTCCCTTTCTCTGGCAGAGGAAGGAGGAGATGATACTGAGCAGCATCTGCAGAAATGAATTGATAAAATGGGTGTATTAGCCCGTTTTCATGCTGCTGATAAAGACATACCTGAGACTGGGCAATTTACAAAAGAAAGAAGTTTAATGGACTTACAGTTCTACATAGCTAGGGGGGACTCACAATCATGGCAGAAGGCAAGGAGGAGCAAGTCACATCTTACGTGGATGGCAGCAGATAAAGAGAGAGCATGTGCAGGGAAACTCCTGTTTTTAAAACCATCATAGCTCGTGAGACTCATTCACTATCATGAAAATAGTATAGGGAAGACTCACCCCCATAATTCAGTTACCTCCCACTGGGTTTCTCCCACGACACCTAAGAATTGTGGGAGTTACAATTTAAGATGAGATTTGGGTGGGGACACAGCCAAACCATATCAAGGGGTAAAAGAATATTCCGCACAATGTGAACAGCATGTTCAAAGACAGAGATTTGCAAGAGCACAATGTATTTAGGAGAATGCAGTAGGTGAAATGAGGGGAAGTATGCATGAGCCGCATAGTGAAGGGCCTTGAATTCCCTGATGATTTTGACTTTATTCTGAAGAATGTTTTGGATCCATTGAAGAATTTTAAGCAAAGGAGTGACATGACATGATTTGTCTTTTAGAAACAATTCTCTGGAATCATAATTTTTTTATTTAAAATCTTTTAACACCAACTCAGCAAGAGATCTTGAACATTTGACTCTCATAAATGTTTGGCTTTTATTATTGTCAGTGTGGAGCCAATAGATGGTTGTGTGTCTCCGCATATGTATATTCATAAAAAGAAATATTAGCAATAACATTTTCCTTAATTAATTTTCCCATGACTGGATTCCTATTTGAATATTCATTCTTACAACAGTGCAGTGTGTTGTGATGCACTTCAGTGAAATTAACTCAAGGAGCTCTTCTTTCCAATTTTAATATTCCATTGGGTTTTCTGTTCCCGAAAACTCATTAGTATCCTAGTGCAGTGCTGACGAGAAACAAGAGAGAGGCATATTGTGTGAATGTGAGTTGGAGAAAAGAGACAGCTGGCACAAGAATATTCTAATAAAGCCCCAAAAAGGCTGCTGTGTCTTAACAAAAAAAGGGTGCTTTAGCTTTCCCTTTGTACTTAATTCTGAATCTTATTCATACCTTTTATGAATGCTGGCTAAAGCCAAATTGTTCTCACTGGACCTCTTCATGGATCTATGCCAAAGAAATTTGGTATATTTTCCAAATTTTCTGGTGGTAAGAATTTTTATATTCACTTCATTTCATGGACATTGTAGATGACATAGTTTTAATCTCCAGCAAAATCATTTCTAGCAATTTGTCTCTTGACTACCCTCCCCTCCCCAGGTTGGCTTCGGTCAACCTGTGTGTTTCAACCATCCAGTTATGCCCATTTTCCCACTTGCATGATTTTACTTATGTTATTATTTCTTCCTAGAGTGTTTTTCTATTATCTTTATAATATGTTGGCATTCCAGCCATCTTCCAGGGCTGAGTAAAATGTTTGTCCTTCAAGAAGGCTTCCAGCCTAAAAAGCAATTGTAAATTTTCCTCCTTCTGGATCTGTGATACCCATTACATTCTAAGTCTTTTGACAGCTGTTTGTGTACACACTCTCTTGTAATTACAATAGCTGTCATTTATTGAACCCGCAATGTGTCAGGCTTGGTATTGTTGTTACCATGTAGGGTTGGTTTTATTATCACCATTTTACAGGTGATAAAACTGAGGACCAGAAAGGCTCATTGAGTTTCCCAAGGACCACAAAGCTAGGTAGGGACAAATATGACTATAAGACTACGAAAGTTTATACTTTTAGTATGGAAGTATGACTACTAAAAGTTCATATTTTTAACCACATTTGACAGTTTTCCTGCTTTATTTTCCCATTGTTGGAGGATAACAGGGTAGGGCATATTTGAGATTGGCCTTGAAGAATAAATTCATTAGGCATTCTGAAAGCAAAGGCTGAATGGGGTGTATTCTAGGGAGAGGGGCATATGAATATAGGAATGAAGAAATATGTATGCATAGGGGAGGCAGGGTGTTGGGGAGCATTTGCTCAACAAGCTGGTTACTGCCAAAGCTCTTATGAAGGATGAGAAAAGACATAAGATGAATGGCCAAATTATGCCCAGATTATGATGGTGTGGAGCATCGGGGAACTCTAGTCCCAGGTCCAAGAATGGAGGGAGAAGCTGAGACCCTGGATGGAGGCAGGAGTGTATACAGAGAGCTCATTCTGATACAGGGAAAGTACCCGGGCACAGGGCTAGAGTTCACAACTCATTTTTAATTGGCTGGTCACCTGGGCATTGCCTGGCATTGGGACACAGAACAAGCTGAGATTGCTTTGATGCTGATTTTCCTACTACTGAAGGAGGGATCCTTAAATAGTTGCAAGAATAGGATTGGGTCAAGGACCACCAGTTCTGGGAAGAAAAGAGATGCGAGGGCGGGGAACTAGGCAGAGTATTGCATAAGCCAAGTAAAATGAGTCCCTAAACTGGGTCATGAAGCAGGGAGGTGTGAGGGGGAAGTAGCAAGAACTTCCTTCGTGTTTTTAATGTGTTAAGACTGTTTTAGTTCAATGTGAGGCATGATCAGGAAGAACATATGTCCAAGTTTCTCTTGTTTTGAAGTGTTGATTGGTATAACTAAGAGAATGCTAAAATAGCTCTATAGACACATTGAAACATTTCTAAAGTAACATCACAGCCTATTCTGAGGGTGGTGAAAGGGAAGGAGGGTTTGTTGTATTCTTGTGGTGACATCTAACTGGTCCTTTGGCACATCGTTAACTATGGACAAGTGGTATCACCTCCAGCCAGAGTTTTGTGGATCCCTGTTCAGCAGCCAGGGGATTTACACAAGAGTTGTGATGCTTTGCTTGTAGCTGGCCTGTTTATAACGTCTCTGGCAAGGCATTTCTGCCATCTATGGTTATTTCCTGTGCCCTTTTCTGTAGAATCTGTTATGTCAAGTGGATTTTCTATGGGGACAGAGACCTGGTCTGTCTTACTTACGGGCATCTCCACAGAGCCTATGGAACACAATATGGACTAAGAAAACCCGGGTTTGGTTCCCAGTTCTGTCACATAATTATCAGCTGGGTGCTTCCAAGCAAAACATATAGAATTCCTGAGTCTCTGTAAAATGGGAAAACAGCATCTGTCCTGTTTAATGCCAACGATTATTGTGGGGATCAAATACATATGAAAACACTTGGAGGGACATTAAAATTGGCAGAAGGAGATAAAGGGGAGAGATTCATCACAAATTGTGCCCTGTGCTAAGTACTTTGCCTCCAACACCATGTTTAAATCTCATGGCAATTTTATAGGACATTTTCATTGTCCGTATCTTTCATATGAGGACATTGAGGCTCATAGATGCCAAGGTCACACACTTAGTAAGTGGCAAGCCAAAATTGGCAGAGCCTCTTGTGCCTGATTGCAAAAACCCATGTTCTTATCCTCTATACTGCACAAATGTGATGTAATTTTATAGAAATACTGACATTTCAATGTAAGCCTTTGCAGAAATCTATCATATAAGGTCAAAAGTCATTCTTAAATGACATAGCAATGGCACCTGACTTTGTCTAGGGAGAGACATCTTTGCCCTAATTAGTATCGGGGTTCCTGGCAACCTGTATATGACATTTGCAATCATGTCTGTGGGAACTAGGGTAAGAGTGGTTTTGCAAACACAGATTGCATCTGTTGACGGTACTTTTCCTCATTTATGCTCAGCTCTCCATTTAGAGATGTACATTCAGTGTGCTGAGGGCAGAATCAATTTGCCAATGTACACTATATTTGGTGTAAATCTGCTTTTCCCCACATTCTTGCATTGTTCTTCCTATAGTGATTAAAACAGTCTTGAGTGGTTCAAGTGAGATAAAAACATACTCTAATTAAAGGGGAAGCACTGTATTTAGAGGCAGAGACATGTATGAAATCCCAATTCTACCCTCACTTAGCTTGGGGACCTTGGACTCTTAGAGACTTGGTCTCCTCTGTAGAACAGTGACAAGAGCAAAATGGTTAAGGCAAGTATATCAGAGGGTCAGTATGTATGAGAGTGAGTTCTACATCTGGCACCTTGTAAATGTTAGTTTTTTTCTTCTTTTATTTATCTTTAATGTTTGGAATAATTGCTAAAGATCAAAAGATTTGGGTTCCAGTCCCAGCCTTGAGAAACCTTCACCTTTCTGGGCCTCAGTTTCATATGTAATCACTTCATATGTAATGAAGTAATTCAGGTAGATAGTCTATATTTTAATGTTGGGATTTTGTTCAGGTCTTATATCTGTCAAAAGCCAAAGGTCTACCACATGGAGTGGCCAGTGACCACATGGAGTGGTCAGGTCAAGGAAGTCTTCTTTGAGATGACAGTGTTTGAGTTGACTCTTGGAGTAATATAAGAGCTATCTAAACAAATAATAGGGCAGGCTATTTTTCAGTTTATTTACAGCCTGAAAGTGAGAGAGCAAGAAAGATTCAGAAAACCACAAGTGGGTAAATAAAAGTGAAACATGTAACATTGTTATATAGGTATGTATGCATCTATTGTGTGGGTGGAGGTAGGGATAGGAAAGCTTAAAGTATGAAGACATTTGGACTTCACCTCATAGATGATGAGGAGCTTTGGAAGTGGAGAGGCAGCATGATCAGACTGGATTATTAGAAATAGCACTTTTGTGACTATGGGTTGTGATAGGCCAAAGAGAGGCAAGAAGAACAGTTAGGAGGCAATTCCAAGACCCTTGGTATGAGCAAGGCACATTTATGGGCAATGAAGAGACCAATTGCTACGGTAATTCCCCTGAGATGGAGGGGGAAATGAGAAAGGCCAGGCCAGTAAAGTCATGTCAAAGATTCTCAAACAGAACTAGAAGGTGGCAGAATCATTTCTGATTCTGATTAGTGCAAAATTAAAAGTAGAGGTCAGTTTTTAATATACACATGTGCTAAGCAAACTACAGTCTCTCCTCGAATTCCGTCTGGGATACAGAGGGAATGTCTACATTTCTTTGTAATCCTTAGGATTGAATGTGAATATAAGGAAAAACATCATCTTCTGGCCAGGAGACTTCTTGGGACAGAAGAATCACTCACTACATTTGATTAGATTTAAGAGCAGGAATTTGACACTTTTTAGTAGAATAGAAGACAGGATTATGTTTAGGAAGGGACTCTTCTTTCTTGGTGAAATTGCCATTTTGTCACTTATTAGCACTTATTACCCTTCATAGCACTTATATTCTTTAATGGCATCATTCAAACCCCAAAGTGTGAAAAATGGAACTATGGTATTTCAATCTTGAAAGTATTTACTGAATATCTGTTATTTCTTGGAAGGCAGTCAGGTCTACAGGAAAAATGAATGAAGTTGTTAGGAGAACTAAATAAAATTATATGAGATATGTAAGGTGCCTAGCACAGTGCCTGATATAAGGCAGCTCAAATAATAATGATCTCCTCTTTTTTACCCCTAGGAGACAAGGACTGGATGATGAAAAAAAAAACAGCTTATACCCACTGGGATTTATAGCCTCATTAGAAAGATAAAATACAATGAATAAAAATAATCTTTCTAATGTTTCACAGTTTATAAATCACTTTTGCATCCACTATTTCATGTCAAGCTTCTACTATCAATTGAAGTAACCAGGGCAAGGCATGTTATTAGCCCAATTAAACAGATAAGGAAACTAACATTCAGGGAGATTAAGTGGCTAAAGACCAAATTGTTACCAAGTGGCAGGGCAGGCCTACCTCACTCCAGATTATGGATATTTCCGTTAAAGATTGATTCAAGGTAGGTCAGCATATCAAGCACTTACCCTGTGGTAGGTACAAGGTACCATATGAACCAAATCCTAGCCTATGAATGGTAGAATTTATAGTTTATACTTTTATTGTAGAAACAAAATGCTAAGGAAGGGAACCTTGGAGAGAAAGGGTCTGTTCTTTTTGGAACTCTGCAATTTAGTATAATTTTGTGCTATCTTTCAGGATCCACTTCTAAGGATGGTCATTCTTCACTTGGTCTTCTGCCCCTGTCTCACTTAGGGTGGGATTCCAGTAATACCCTAGAAACTGGTCTAATATGCCCAGGATTTTTTGTCCAATTCTTCTATTCTCACCCCTGCTTACTGTAGCCATCTGGAGCAGTTAGTCGTATGCCTCAGCGGCTAAGATCCACCAGATACCACTGCCTACGTCCTGCTGACTACCACTGTGATTTGAATTCCTAAATTTTCCCAGGGAAAACCACAACTCCTGTTTTCTGTTGTCCTCTATTCTTCTGTTATTCCTCATCTTTTGTGCAGTTCTCTCCCCAGCATCTTTAGAAATCCCTTTAAGGAGAACAGGCAAAACCAGATTTATGATGGCACTGACCCAGGGCCTTCATTGGTTTGGAGCTTCTCACTGGCTTGTCTTACATGTGGGGATATAGAGAAAAAGAATCAACTACAACTAAGCAGGTTGTTATTCTGAGGAAGTGAAGAAGAGTGCATCATAATTCTTGCTCCCAGGGAGATGAGACACACTTGGATGAGTTCACTAGGCAGCACATGAAAATTTTATCTTGAGTGCTGCTTTAAATGCATTATCTCATTTAACCTAGGCAATACCCCTATGAGTAGATATTAGTATTTTTATTTTATAGATGAGGTAACTGAGGTTCACAGAGATATTGGGATTTTGCCCAAGTCCCCACAGCCAGGAGGTAGTAGAGCTGTGGCTGAGGATTCATTCTTCTGACTGAATGCACCATTCTCTTCTCTTACTCCAAAGCTGCAGTAGATGATCAAGTTCTAGACAATGCAGCTCTGATGCCAAGTGTTGGAACCCAGGTTGGGGGTGGTCTGGAGTAGTGTGGGATGGTTTTCTGAAGAACCTCAATGTTTAAGGATGAGTTTGGAGAGACAGAGAGAAGGAAGGAGGCCATCCATGGGAACAGAGTGTACAAGGCTGCGGAGGTAGGAATGAATTGGGCACATGTGGAGGTGGTGTGGATCGTGGCCTTACAGGAGCAGAAAGTGCATTTTGAGGAGGAGGACAGCTTGGTTTGTCTGGGTAGAGGGATCTCAGCCTAAATATGTCCTTGTCCCTCCCTGCCTCCACCATGACTGTGGGAACCAGCCCTCTGTGAGTGTGAAAAGACCCACTGGAAACAGGAATTTGGCTCTATCATGCAGACCATGCTGAGGAGAGGTTTTTCCAAGCCATATTTAAAACATTGTGTTGAAAAACATCCCTAAATTCTCTAACAGAAGACAGATGTCTGCCTGAACAAATATCAGCTCTCACATAATTTGTTGTTTTGATTTCCCCAGCATTTGCCTATTGAATCTGACAACCTCCTATAATTATCCATTTTCCAGAATGAATTACAGGGTGCATGTCCCATGTATGTGGCTCACAATGCTCTTGGTTCATGGAGTATATGGATGTATGGTGCATCTGTGCAGGGTACCAGATTCTGTCTGGCTCCTTGTTGCCACCCCCTTCTCAAGCTCCTATGCTTTTACTTGGGCAATTTGATTCCCATCTTCTGGATCAGTATCTTCTGTACTAGATATACCAAGGCCATGGTTGATCAGGGACTAAATGGAGACCCAATTCAATAATTCAGTAAAGTTAGCAGTATAGCATGGGCCTTGAAGTTCAGACAGACCTGGTGTCAAATTTTCCACTTACTATCAGAAGATGATTTAACCTTTCTGAGCCTCACTCTTCCCATCTGTAAAATGGTTGTTGGAAAGAGACTATTATTTAGCAGGGGCCAGATAAATGACAGTTATTGCTATTATTATTTTTCTTCTTGTTTTGACCTCATATATTGGTTGATACCTAATATTTATTTAGTATTAAGAAATTGTGCTAGTCGTTGATAAGTACTTTATATGTGTTATATCATTTAATCTTCATTACCATCATATGAGATTGGTACTATTATTGTCCTTATTTACAGATAAAGAAGCTGAGATTTAAAGATGTTAAGTAGCTGGGCGCAGTGGCTCACGCCTGTAATCCCAGCACTTTGGGAGGCTGAGGCGGGCGGATCACCTGAGGTCAGGAGTTCGAGACCAGCCTCAACATGGAGAAACCTCGTCTCTACTAAAAATACAAAATTAGCCGGGCATGGTGGTGCATGCCTGTGACCCCAGCTACTCGGGAGGCTGAGGCAGGAGAATTGCTTGAACCCGGGAGGCAGAGGTTGCAGTGAGCCGAGATCGCGCCATTGCACTCCAGCCTGGGCAACAAGAGCGAAACTCCGTCTCAAAAAATAAAAAAAAAATAAAAAAAATAAAGATGTTAAGTAACTGTCCAAAGAAGGTCATACAGCAGGAGGAGGCAGAGCTAGAGTTAGAACCCATGCAGTGTGGCTGAAAGCCTGAATTCATAACTGCTTCATTGGCTTTATCATAATTCATAACTACTACATCTGTTCTCTTACTAAGACAGAGATATCACATTATGCCTTATGTCTGTCTGTTTCTCTGTGTCATAGCTTTTCCTTAATAGTCTATCTAGTATTGTCTTGAATCTGCTGGTTCTTCCTATAAATTGCAGCCAAGTAGTTACAGACCTGTTGGCCTCTCCCTTGCTAGTGTTGACTTCTGAATATTGCTCCTTTTGTCCTCTGCTTGCTGTGCAATGATTTGTGCATTCTTTCCGCAAACTTTCACCAAGTATCTTCTATGTTCAAGGCCCAGTATGAGGCACCAGGAATACCAAAACCAATTTGACAGAACTACTATTTTTTAAAAAGTCAGTTCCAGTAGGGGAGACAAACAAAAACAGAATAATGCCACTGATATTTCTAACCCATTTTTTTCTTTTATAACCCCCTATATATAATTCATTACTATGTCCAGTTGATTTTGTATCCTTTGGCTCTTGAATCTGTACATTTCTCACTATCTCCACTGGTATTTAAGTTACTATCATTCCTCATTGAGCTACTGCAATAGCCTCCTTACTGGTTACTTGCATTCAGGTTGTGTTGACCTCCAAACTATTATTAATACTGCAACCAGATTGGTCTTGGAAAATGAAAATCTGTTTAAAATGCTTTAATGGTTTCCCAGTACTCTTAGCATTATGGAAATAATAATGAAAGCCTCAATTTATGAGAAAAATTAAAAAAGCATAAGCGAGTTGTACTAGCATAAGATGACTGGATAGTCTTTATGGATTTTTGTAGCTCTGACATCCAAGATTTGCCTTCATCTTGATGGAACTATGCAGCTTTGATACCATCTCTAACCAAGATGTACCCAGTAATTACTGACCGTTCTCTAGTCACCCCAAGTGGATGAATCTTTACCTACTTTAGTGACAAGACTAATTAAAGATTATATTCATTCATTTATTAATTCATTCGACAAACATTCACAGAGCATTCACTCTGTTTCAGGTCCTGAACTGGCTGCTGGAAAAATAGGCTCAGCTCACTCAACCCCAGTAACTGTCCTAGTTACTAGTGTTTCAGCAGTGATCAAGGCACAAAGCAGGAATGGTCCTTGTTCTCATAAAGATTAAATTTGAGAATGAGACCTAGTTCCCATTCTTGACAGGTTTGTATTCTATTAGGGAATACATTATTCATTTATTTACCTAACATTTGCTGGGTATCTACCCTGTGTCAAGCCCTAAGAATATAGTGCTGAATGAAACAGACACAGAGTTGTCATAATTACTATATGGCGTGGTAAGTACAAGATCAGAATTCTGTGCAAGGGGTAATGGAACCCTAAGAGGGAGACTTGAATTCCGCATGCAGAGCTGGGATGACATCATTGAAATTAACTGCTAGGAATTGACCTTAAAACTATATAGGATACTGTATTACTGTTAGGTACTATTAATGAGCACCAAATTTAAGTAACATGTACACTTGACATTTCTGCTCTGCTCTTTTACAGAGGACATTATCTCTAATGCATGTGTATAATAAACATTTATTATAATATGCATTATATTGATGAGGAACCTGAGGTTCAGGGGTGTGAAGTCATTTGCTCAAAGTCACAAAGCTAGTAAGTGAAAGAATTAGGATTCCAGCTTAAATCTGCCTAGCTCCAAAGCCTTTGCTCTTTTCACACTACCCTGCTAAATACACTGACTTTTTCTAGACTCTGTCATTTGGCCTCTTAGGACATGTTATAATTTCATTTATAATTTTTGTTCACCACAGCCCTCTAACTGTCATCTTCAGTTTGAGGCTTTCCATGTGAAACCTGAAGATGTAGGCCTGCTGTAGGTCCAAAGTTTTGGAAAAGGTATTTATTGTTTCAGGAAAATTGGTATTCCAGTTGACATTAATTCTCATCTTGTTTCCTGGGTTCCCACCCATCTCAGTGATAACTGAATTTCCCTGGCAAATATCATGCTGTCTTTCTATGCAGCAGGTGCTATGCCCTCCCCACTCCTCAATACAAAATTGACCCCTGCCATATGATTACCCCTTCAGGGGGAATATGAAATCAATAGATTGGTCTTAATGGCCTTAATAATCTTAATAGTCCTGTGCAAAAGAGCACATCCAGGCAGAAGACATGGCACTCAATTCCACTGAGTGCAGAGCTTCACGCTGGGCACTGAAGGGAGTCAAAAGAAATTTACCATATGGAACTCAGGTTTACTGTTTCAATATGACTGATGAGTTGCTTTGCTGTTGTGGGCCTCAGTTTTTTCATCAGCAAATAGGCATGTCAAACCCATTGATTTGTGGAGGATCACCATGAAAGTGCTTTACTAACTGAAAAAGTGTTATTCACATCACATATTGTTCCTTGGGGATTATGATTGTGATGTGACTGGTTAAAAGAGCACATAGGAATGATTAGATGGTAAGGAAAATAGTAATGTTCATTTTGCTGGCTGAATGTGGCTAGGAAAAGCTAGTCAAGTCCTCATCTATGTTTCTACAGTACAGTAGGAACCCCATTATTCCATACTCAAGACATTATTTTTATGTTTCTGTACTAGATTATGAGGCAAAATGACTCGACTAAGGATGCATTAAGTTCAGTGGCAGAGTCTGAATTGGAACTCAGGGGTTTAACTATTCCAGCACTTTTCCTGCTGTACCATGTGTCTTCACAAGATATAATCAAAATGGGATCTAGTGGCCAGATTGTTTGGATGGGGATGACCCTTGAAAACCAAGACAGAGCTTTGTTGAGTTGTCACCGGTTACTCTTTTCTGGCCTAGGATCCAGCCAGTTTCCTGACTAGCCTTTTCTTTTGCTATTGAATTTAATATGGGAGCACATCATGATCTGAACTTTGTGTTCCAGTAACCCCATTTCGAACTTTTCCATAAACATTATAGGACTTAGTATGCACATGTTATGCGTGTATGAGAGAGAAAGGAAGAGAGAGAGAGACAGAAAGTTAAGAGATTTTTTTGATAGTACCCAGGAGTGATCAGGGCCTGAAATGTAGACCTATGTTAGCTAAAATTCTTTATATAGGGTATTAAAATTAGGCATCAGTGTAACAATTTATGAATTTATCTTGAGAAATAACTCTCATTAGAAGCAGTTTGCGCAAAGTCCATGTGTTCTATCATCTGTGCATTAGCCTCTATTATCAAACAACATGGGAAGTCAAATCATTACTTCAGGATTGCTTCCATCGTTTGTATGAGCAAGAGCAATTGAGATACTATTTTATGACTTCAGGGATTGTCCCATTATAAGGATAGCTGTACTAATGGGACTGGAGGATTCTACATGTGCCATTGATTTTCGTGGAGTGTGGTGTGTATGTTGGTACCCATGACTAAATATGCAGATGCATGGTTTCTGGAAGTGTCATGTCTGTATGTGTAAATATAGACATATGTCTGGGCTCCTTACCTAGGTTTTATTTTTGGAGACTTCACTTCTTTTTACCTACCTTACTGCAACTTGAGACTAAGACCTTGAATACAGTTAATAATCAACAAATGCCAGTTTACTAATAATTGGCCAACATGGTACATAGTTTACAAGTGTGGAGAATCTGGCTGTTTAATTCCATCATCATTGTCATCACCATCATCATCATCACCACCACCGGTCATCATCATCAAACCTTTATGGAATTAATACTTAACTATGTACCTACAGAGTATGGAAAAACAAGTCTATCGTTTTCTCCTTCATGACACTATGCCCTCCTAGAGTGATTGTGTATTGTATATAATTGTATGGGCAGGAAAAACTTCTGATCAAAGGAGTTAATGATTCTTGTCTAAGTGATTTAGATTAAGAATGAAACTATGGAACAGTATCCACGACTTGTCACTCATCACCATGTCATCTACACAGGTAGCATCTTATCTTTTTTGCAGGTAGTTCATAGCACTTACTTGTTATTGTGACAGATCCAAAAGTAAAGGTCTGTCTTTCTCTTTGACCTTGATTTGAACTTAGGACAGCCCCGTGACATTTCAATTCAACTTATAATATACCCTGTAGACCCTGGTCAGTTGATGGATATCTTTTAGTCTCATTGTATATAGAAAGTAAATCAAGTAAAAAGTTTGCCTGTACTTGTTTTAATAATAGAATCATAGCATATGAGAGTTAGAAATCACTTTAGAAAACACCTGTATTCCGATGTTCTTATCACTACTCCTGTCATTTGATAATGTCACATTCAATGTTTTAATGAATGTTGATCTTCATTCAGTTTGTTGATTTTCACCCACCTCAGCAACACTATTTATTATCATATTCTAGACCTTATCAATTATTACCATATTTTACTAAATTAAGTTGCCATTATCTTTCCTTTTTCAGAAATGATAAAATGTGAAAACATACAATAATACTTGTATCATCTCCTTTCTTTTCAGTCCATCCCTTCCATATTCCTGCTTTTATAATTCTTCAATACCATTAGAAAGTCAAACCATTGATCCTAATATCCTTTCAATGCCCCTGATCCCCCTTATATGCCCATTTCCCTCCTTATCAACTTACAGTTCATGATTTATTTTTATAATAATTTCTTAGGTACCTTTAACTACCTTACCTTCTTTCCCCTATACCTTACTTCTTAGAAAAATCTCAACTCTCATTAAACCCAACTACATTAGAATAATTTTTTTTCATTTGTACCTGAGATAATGAAGGAATTTGGACAAAATCTCAAAACCATGATTTTTGGTTTCTTTTTGGATGACTTCAAACCTCAGGTGAGTCCATATCACATTTGCCAAGTGAATTTATTCTTCCATCTTTTGAAAGGATAATTTTATAACGTTTTCTCTCTCTTCAGACATTCAGTATTCCTTCTGTCTTCTTCATCCTCAGTTAATGGGCATGGTGACTTCAGAGGTCAGAATAGATGGCAGTGTTTTTTTTTCCCTGCCATTTGAGTTTAGGATGTCTAGAGAGAAAGGCACAAGAGTCAGCAGATAGAGATTAAAGATATCATCTTTATTGCTGATAAAGAAAATATTACATGTATCTGCATATCAGTGGACTTTCTAATAGAGAATTCAGTCAGTCAAAGGTAGCTGAAAGCTGCAGGCCTACTTCCTTCCCAGAAACAGAGTATTCTCCTATAGATTGAACAACATGGAGGAGCACAGTGGAATATACATTCTCTGTTGGCTGTTCCTAAACAATTTCATTTTGTTCTTTCAAATTCATCAATCAAAAATGCCCCTAAGGATGAGAGAATGAATACTTAGAAAGAGACCATGCATATTAAACATGAAATTATGGAAAAGGAACTTACCTGCTAAATATGACATTTATTTTAATTTTATGGGAGAAATAGAAGCAATCCTGGAGAACATCCTTCAACCTGCAAATCTATCCATTTTTTGAAACTTTGCCATCCTTCTCTTTTAGAATTGATAAATTATTTGAGCTTTTATCTAAGGCTATCTTTTCTCCTGAATATCAACTCAACTCACCTATATAGAGATTTTATAAAAATTTTTTCTAACTTCACAGTTTTCTAGTTCTTACTGGATTAGTCTCATCAGCATACAAATATGATACAGTGTTTCAACTTTAAAAAAATTAACTTCATTGCCCATTTTTGTTTAGTTGTTGTGGCCCCACTTCTCTTCCCTCTGATATAGAAAAACTTTTTGAAAGAATATACTATTTTCTATCTCTCTTTTCCTTTCACTGTTTCTTAACCCAACTCCAAGGCCTTTTATCCCATCATTTCACTAAAATTACTCTTCTCAGGGTCACCAATTATTTCCAATGTTGACAAATCATATGCTTAGTTTTCAATCTTGACCACTCAGCAGCAGTTGATCACTCTATCCTTAAACACTTTGTTTACTTTGCTTGAAACTGCATGTTCTTCTGATTTTCCTCCTTATCTCTTAACTACGCCTTGGTCTTTTTTGTGTATCCTGTTTATACTGTGTTTCCTCTATCTAGAAGCTCTTCCAAGAGATCCACATGGTTCACTTACCCACTTCACTGAAGTCTCTGCTCAAATGTCACCTTTCCTGACCACACAATTTAAAATTGTAACCCCAACCCTCAATCATTATTCTCTTACCATACTTATTACTCCATATAGCATTTATAACATGCTGACATATCTTTTTTCATTAGTATAATGTCAGTCTTTTCCCACTATAATGTGAACTCCAAGAGTAGAGATTTGTCTGTATGGATCACTCTGTATTCCTACCAACTAGAACATGGTCTGACTGGCTTAATGACTAATACAATAAATATACAATGGCAAAGTCCTTCTTGGGATTAGAGACAGTATAGTGTAAGCAAAAAGTACAGACTCCAGATACAGATAGACTGGGTTCAAATTCTAGCTCTACTCTTTTCTAGTTTACTATTGGGTTTGGAGGAGTTAAATTAACCTCTTTGAGCTGTATTCCAATCAGTAAAATAATGGCATGAGTATCTATTTCACACGATTATTTTTTGAGTTAAATGAACAAATATAAACAAAACAACTAGCCTTAGGCTTCATACGTAATAGGCATTGAATAAAAGATTGTTCTTTTTCCTTTCTGTCTTAAGATGTATTTTTGCTCTTCTACCCATATAGATCCTTGGTTTGGTATAGAGTACTATTTTTTTTTTTGAGACAGAGTTTCACTCTTGTTACCCAGGCTGGAGGGCAATGGCATGATCTCAGCTCACCACAACCTCTGCCTCCTGGGTTCAAGCGATCCTCCTGCCTCAGCCTCCCAAGTAGCTGGGATTACAGGCATGTGCCACCACACCTGGCTAACTTTTGTATTTTTAGTAGAAATTGGATTTTTGGTCAGGCTGGTCTCAAACTCCCAACCCCAGATGATTTGCCCACCTCAGCCTCCCACGGTGCTGGGATTACAGGCGTGAGCCACTGCGCCCAGCCTAGAGTACTATTATATCCAAATCTCATGATGCTTTTATCCTACTTAAACCCCTACCATGCTTCCCTGTTGCTACAATAATATTCAAGTTTCTCACACTGATTTTCAGAACCCAACAACGAACTTGTATGGTCTTTTAGACATCATCTTTTACTATCTTCTTCTGTGTACCCTGTGCTTCATCTAAATTTATTATTCATGGGACAACATGGTATAGGATCCTACCTCCACACTTCTACATATGTTGTTTGGCTCTGCTCACAATGTCCTTTCCCAGCCTCTCCTTTGTTAAAGTTCTGCCCATTATTTAAGTCCCTGTCAAATTAACAAATTCCTAGACACTACCTCAATTCATAAATTACTCTCTCTCTCTTCCTACTGGTTCATAAAGCTTCTGATGTAGCATAATCTTCTCAGGGAAGCTTTCCTTGCCACATTCCCTCCTACGCCTCCCACTTCCAATTTTTTTGGAGGCACACATCTGGCTCATCCTGGCTCATTCCTTCTGCTCTAGCATTTACCACTGTAAGGAGAATTATATGTCTGCCTGTCTGTATTCCTGCAAAATTGTGATTTTCTTGAAGACAGGGTCAATGTAATATATATCCTCAGGGCTTAGTGTGGCTCCTAGAAGATAACTGACATTCAGTGTATTAATGAAAGAACAAAGTGTCCATCTCCTCTATTAGATCATAAGGATCTGGAAATTTGTTACTCGTTCTTAGTCATCTGTGTCTGTTTTTTATCCTCTATAATAGCTGGAACATAGGGAAGAAATATATTTTGGTGACTAAGATTATGGTCTGTCTCTAGCATTAGTTGTTTTGAGTTTAAATATCAGCTCCACTATTTACTATTTATGTGATTTGCACAGGTTATTATCTCTGTGCTTAAATGTCCCTGTCTCTAAGATAGTGATAATAGGGATTGGTATAAGGATTAAATGCAATAATTCTTGTTTAGCTCTTAGTCTAGTATCTGCCCATGGTATATCAACAAATTTCTCTTGGCTTCCATAGAAAAACATATTGATAAACTGTGATAATCATATACATGTAGTATATTAGGGCGTGGGCACAGAGGAAAAAGTGAGTGTCTCCCTGAAGGATATACAAAGGTACTGGAGAAAGAGATAATTTCAGGCCACAGAGCAAGCAACATTACAGTCATTGATCATACTTTCTGAATTGGCATGTAAGGAAGGAACAAGACACCCAAGGAAGGGTGATGGTCAGTGGAATGACTATCATATTGTAGTTCCTTCACTTCTAATAGTTAGAAACATATGTGAGTTATTCTCCTACATCACTCGTTTCCAGGGTTTATTTCTAGATATATCCTTGCAGGAAAAAAAAAAGTCTTTTTAAAATGTTAATCTGTTTCTACTCTAAACCCATTTGGAACTGAAGTGTTTTGGTTGGATCTGAAAATCACTTGAAATATGGGCTGTGATCAAGCCTTGTACTGGAGTACACTGATGAATATAGGTGGTGTGTAACCCACACACATGGAAACAGAATATTCAGACCTCATATCTGTCCACCCACTATAGGCAGCAGAATAATGATTTTGAATGATGCCTTTGTTTCCTCTCCCCAAATAACACTTGAAGGGGTCCTTGTGCCTGGAACATTACAAAGTGAAAAGCAATCGGTTAGGGAATTAACTGTAGAATATGTATGGTAGATTCTTACAGTTATAGCCTCCAATGAAACACACCTCCCTGAGTTCATACCCTTTTGCAATGTGACATTAACACTTTCTTATAAGATGTGGAATCTATTTCCCAGGCTTTCAGTCTGGACTGGCCTTAAGACTTGTTTTGACCACTAGAATGTGTCAGAAGAAACACTTTGTGATTTCTGAAGCCATACGGACATTAAGAGCCCTTGCCATATCTGCTTCGGTGCTATTAGAATGCTTCTGTTATTATGTGAAGAAGCTGTCAAACTACCCAGCTGAGTCTAGACCAAATTCCTAATGGACATAATTTTGTGCAAATAAATGGCGCTGTTACTGTAACTTACTAAGCTTTTGGGTGATTTGTCATATAGAAATAGATAACTACCATAACAAAGAATCAACTATTTAAGGTTTAATATTGTTATATTTATCCAAGGATAAGTTTTAAATGTTCTCAAAATAGTCACAATTCATATATATATATATACACATATTTAAAACATATATAGTTTATATATTTGACATTCAGTGTATTAATGAATATATACACATTAATATATAAATGTTTATGTTTATGTATAAATACAAATATTTAAATGTAAACATATTTGTATATTAATGTATATATTTATATATACATATATTATAGTAATTTATAAATATATATGAATATAAATATATAAATTTATATAAAATAAATTTATATATTATATAAACATATATATTTATTTATATATAAATATTTTTACATAAATATATATTATATAAATATACAATAACTTACTCATGGAACCAAGAGTGAGACAAAATATAAATATATAATATATGATATTTATATGAATATAAATTTATAACATATTTATATGAATATAAATTTATAATATATTTATATGAATATAAATTTATAATATATTTATATGAATATAAATTTATAACATATTTATATGAATATAAATTTATAACATATTTATATGAATATAAATTTATAATATATTTATATGAATATAAATTTATATATACTTTTTATTTCATTAGCTTTTGGGGTACATGTGGTTTTTGGTTACCTGGATGAATTGTACAGTGGTGAAGCCTGACGTTTTAGTGCATCCATCACGTGAGTTGTGTACATTGTACCCAATTTGTACTTTTTTAATCCCTCACTCCCCTCCTGCTCTTCCCCCTTCTGAGTCTCCAAAATCCATTATACCACTCAGTATGCCTTTGCATACCCATTGCTTAGCTCCCACTTATAAGTGAGAAAAATATTCACAATTTTGAGGCAGCATGGTTTAGTGGAAAGGCATGGGGTTTGTCTTTATGCAAACTTGGATTCTGGTCATCTGAATATCTCACCTAACCTCTTTGAACCTCAGTTTTCTCATCTGCAAAACCAGAGAAAAAAGTCTAACTTTATAGGCTTGGCGTATGGATGGAGTGACCTAAAAGTAGTAAGGCAGATGGTGCCCGGCACATAGAATCACTCAATACACATGGATTTAGACTTCATCCCCTAAGCAGGATGGGAAATAACTGCTTAATGGGCTGCCTTCTGAAGTGATGAAAATGTTTCAGAACTCGATAGAGGTGGTGGTTGCAAAACATTGTTGTGACTGTGTTAAATGTCACTGAATTGTTTACTTTAAAATTGCAGTTAATTTTGTTATATGAGTTTCACCTCAATAAAACAAAATATGTGACCACATGACATGGATGATCTGGGTTGGAACTGATGAAGCTGCAAAAAGTGAAACAGAAAAATGCAAGCCCTTATAGGAGTAGAAATAGACCGATGTAATCCATTCAGCAAGGAATAATCCAGTTGTTATACAGATCAGGAGGGATCATGGGGCAAGATATAACCAGCTATTTAACTGGCCAGGCAATCTGTGAGTTAGAGCAGAGGGTAAGTACTGTGCTACAGCTGAGCTGAGTTTCCTTCCTTCCTACAACTGTGACACTTCCACTGCTTTAGTATTATACTTTCTCTTATATGGCTTTGCTAGTCTAAAATGCTACTTGGCTTCCCTGAGGCAAAAACTTATGCTAATACGGCTTTTCAATTTGGGTTGGAGGCAATCTCAGGGCACCAAGAGTGAGACAAAAAGGGAATTAATATGGAGAAGAGATATAGGAAGCATACATATGCAGGTTACCAGCTGACCACAGCTTTGTTTCTCAGTCTTTCTCATTTCCCATTAGTGAAAAATGTGCCCTATAAAGCATCAATCCCTCCATACATTAGGTTGTGCCACCTGGTCCCCAGCGGCTGCTGACAGCAGCAGAGACATCAGCAGAGTGAATCATAGGATACAGAATGAGCCACTAAGGAGATGGATGGTATGCAACCAGTGCACTCCATCCTGGCCCACCTGTGGCCTGAAGCCCCATGGATCCAGTTAGGTGAGCCAATATAAGTGTGTGGGCATCAAGCAGGTACCATAGTTATTGTACCTCAGCAACAACAGGGAAGTCCTTGGTGCAGGTGGCAAGAGTTGCATGAAGCAAGACATGAAGCCAAGCTCTGCTGGGTCATTCCTAAAACAAAAATCTAGGGCTGCACCCACAATAGGCCTAGCTAGCTGAACAGGCAGAGTGCCAAGGCAACATGACCCCCACCATAAAGGTAGCAAAGGAGCTCAAAAGCCTCACTCTAACTAAGATAAACCCTTTCTTCTGCAACCTCCAAGACTGTGGTTGGTGCCAGGTGATCTTTCCATAGGGTTATTGGTAGCATCAAGGAAAAAACATGCTTGAGCAATCTGGGGAGGTGAATAACTTGGTTGAGTATTCTCATCTGGACTATTTCTCTAATTGCTATCCTCCAGATCACAGCAATTTGGCATTATCTTGTAAACACTGGACATTTACATTAATAGCCAGCAATTCTACTTTTAGGTAAGTATTCGAAAGAAACTCTTAACATGTGCATCAAGATACAAGATTGATCATAGTAGCCCTGGTCATAATGGTAAAATCTAGAATTTATTTAAAAAAAAATATAGGCATGGTTTAGTGTTCTTAGGTATTCGTTCCAGGAGCCCCCTCGGATATCAAAATCTATGGCTGCTCAAGTCCCTTATATAAAATGGGATAGCATTTGCATATAACCTACACATCCTCCCATACACTTAAAATTATCTCTGGATTACTTTAAATACCTAAGACAATGTGAATGCTATGTAAATAGTTGTTATACTATATTTTTAATAGAATTATATTATTGTTGTATTGTTATTTTTATTATTTTTAAAATAGTATTTTTAATCCACTGTTGGTTTAATCTGTGGATGCAGAACCTGCAGAGAACCAACTGTAGACAAAACAAAATAAAGTACAATAAGGTCATGTGCAGACAGATGATGAGAGTGTTTCATGAAGCATGGATTTGCACTAATTTAATTCGGTGTACGCAACATTCTCTAAAACAAATATAATTTTTTTCTTCCTATTCTGAATCTCAGTTGAATCATAACATAGAGCACATGGAATTCCTAGAATACAATGATTTATTTTCTACCTTTGTATATAATGGTCCTTTGGCCTGCTATGCTCTTTCTATAGCCACTCCTTTTCATTCTCTAGGCCTCAGCCTAAGGAAATATCCTCCCTTTGGGAAGGAGCAGTGGAGCCTTTATAGAGCTCAAAGACCTAGGCAGGTGCCTGGTCCATTCATGAGGCCAGCCTTCTTTGAGTAATGAATGATATGGTGATGTGATCATTGACCCAGCTCATGTTAATAGAATCAAGAAATTATGGTAGGCTTTCTAGTAGAGGGTATCTCTTCTGTCAGATAGAGAAGTAGAAATAATGATAACTAGGCATATGGAAAAAATGTGAGCAAAAGTGTGAAAGAGAGAGTGTGTAGACTACATTCCAGCAAAAATGAGAGGTCTATATTCTGTCAACATATAAATATAGTAATAGAAAACTAGAGGCAGATAAGTTTAACATATTGGCCTTGAGCTAAAGTTTGAAAGGTATTGATTATCTTGTTAAGAAACTTGTATTTTATACGGGTGACAATGTGAAATTACTGAATGGCTTTTAGGCAGGAAGGCAATGATCAAAGCTTTTTGTAGGAAAACTAACAATTATGTGTGGAAAAGGTTAGGTAAGAGACATTCAGAAGCTCTACAAGAAACCACAGTATAAACATTGGGTGTGGTCATCTAGACTGTTGTGGACACCAAGCTATATTGAAAGGGCTATTAATGTGTTCCTGAAACATGAAATTAATCTTGATCCAAAATGGGGAAGAAAAGAATCATGAAGTTAAAAGTCATGAGGATTATCAGTAAGTTAGGTTATAGACTAGTAAGCAAGCCAGTGCAAGAGGTCAAGGCTAAGATTCTGGGTGTAACAAAGGGTTAAGACTCCTGCTTTTATGTAATTATGAAGTAAAAGCTGAACAGAACTATGAAGAGCCAGGTTAGAATTGGCATAAAGGTGATATATTTGGAAATGTGAGTAATGGTTTGACAGGAGGTATAAGGATGTAAAGAGGACTAGTGGCTATAGACTGATGTATTGCCTATGGACTTTAATACTTTGGGAGCTTAAATTGTTCTGGATGTATACTTTATTCAACTCAAGTCTATAATCTACACCATGCAAAGTTTTCTACAAAGATAAATTATATAAATACCTAATAACATACTAGAGTTCCGGGAGACTCGGTTACAAATTAGTATTAAGATAGCTACAGAACCAAGTTAAACCACTAAATTACTCTGGAAAGGTAGGCAGATAGACTTTGGAGTGCATGATTTGCCTGAGTACCATCATGGAGTTCTTGGCTCCCTACAAAACATTAACATGACAAATTAGAGTTTCGATCATGCCAGATATAACAGTATCCATTTGTTTAATTAAACAATTGAGGCTGTTGTTAGTGTGGGTCATTTTTAAAAATGTTAAAAGTAAAATTAAACACATAATTAAGCTGACAAAAGATAAAGACCCCGATGCTCCAAGTTGAAGGCAGTTAATTTATATGAAGCTGGGTCCCTGAAGGCACCACAGTTTATTAAATTTCCCAGGCAGGGATGTGAAATATATTATTTAGTTGTTAAATGTTAAATTGCTCTGACACTTTTAAGGTCCACAAGATGCAGTCAATTAGAATGCCTTGTTAGCTAGCTGTTGTTTTTCTTCTTGAAAGGGTCCAGAATCTAAAGCTGGGCCCCTCTTCCTTATTTTTCATTACTAGAAGCATCCATGTCCTATTCATGGTTGGTTACATAATCATAAATTCATGGGTGGATAGACCCCAGGAGTTTATTATTATTAATAGTATTGAGTTGAGAGGACCTGTGCTTAGTGTACCAATTTGGGCATGATTCAACCATGCATCCCTTTCTTCCTTCCTTCCTCCATCCCCTTCCCTCCTTTCTTCCCTCCCTCAATAACTTTCTTATTTTTCTCTTTCTATCTTTTTCTTATTTAATTCCTTCCTTCCATCCTCCCTCCTTTCCTCCATCTCTTCTCTGTCTCTTTCCTTCCCTCATTCCCTCCCTCCTTCTTTTCCCTTTCTTGTCTGTTCTTCTGTACCATTTTTCTCATTTCTTATCACATTATCAAGATTATACTATTTATTAAATTCCCTTCCAATTTTGGAGTTCATAATTTAATGCCAGTTGCCTAGTTGAGGTAGGAATATCCCCGACAACAGCTTCCCAAAGTTGACATTCAGTCTCCACTCATATTCTTTTAGCCACAAGCCACATATCACCTTCCAAGGAAGCCCAGTCTTTCTCTTAACAAATGTATCTCTGGTGATAATGTAAAAAGTTTTTCTTGAAGTAAACTCAAATTTGTCTCCCTGTGCTTCCATGTTGAATGAATGTTTCTCTCCTCATATTATTTTCTTTATGACTTTCTACAAACCTTTTTTCTAAATCTAGAATATTTCTTTACTATTCTATCCATATCAATTTCTTCCTTCGTGCCTTTGCTCTTGTTATTATCCCTCCAGAAATTCTTCCCCTTGTCTATATCCTTTAAGTATCATATATCTTCCTCACTTATCTAGACCTCACCAAATGCTTAACACTCCTAGTCAGTACCAACCAGATGGACATGTCATTGTCTGGAATGTTTCAGGCATACACATTATACATTGCTCCATTTAGGAGCTGTTTTGGAGTATGTTCCTACTGATTATTTATGGAAAGGCAGGAGCCTTTCCATAAAAGGAGTAGAGAGACTATGGAGCTGGCTCTAAACCCCACCCAACAGGGAGCTAAGCAAGCTCCTTGTGCTGAAAAGTTCTCCAGTTGCTCAAAATTTATAGAAACCCTTGGTCACAACCAGTTGAATGGTCAGCTCTGCACAGGGAAGATGAAACCTGTGGAGTATCCCACAAGTGAGTGGGCATAGTGACTGGAGATCGAAGATAGATAATATTCCATAACTGAAGCAAACAAACATAATTTAAGTTATCAATAGGCAACAGATGACAAAATAAATCCCAGGAAGGTTAAGTGACATTCCTGAGGTTATACCTTTCCTAACTTTACTAACATTAACTAGCAGAGTTAGACATGAATACAGAGTAAAGCCGTCTTAAGAAGGTAAGATTGCAAAGCAGCTCACAAGAACTAGAGCTCTGAACCTTTGGGATCTCTTTTTCATATGCCTTTGTCACTTATCATACCCTATCTAAGATTACAGTTGCTTGTGCGCTTCTTTGTCTCCTTTTTGGGCTAAAAAAGCTCTGTAAAATCAGAGCTGGTCCTCATTCATTTTATATAGCAGCAGCACTGAAATCTTGCTCTCGAGTTACTGGGGGATAGAGGTTTTAATGTATTCCCTTTGTGAATACTTGGGAGGTATGCTGCTATGTAATATGTGGTGCCCCAAAGCTAAGGCAATTGACCTGGTAGTTTTCCTATAAGTGTGTCTCTGACCCCACTACCCTAACCTAAATTTCCTTCCTCTAGCCTCCCATTTGGTCTCTACCTGCATCTCTGCATTCTCACTCCTACACGACCCTTACATCCAGGTATAATTTATATATTGCTGGAACTATTTTCCTGAGTAACTTTTATTTTCCTAAAATATATTCCTTGTCACCTCCTACACACATATACTATGCACACAACCTATAAAATTCACAATAAATTCTTCACTCTTTCAAGGTCCTTCAAAATGGTTCTAACCTCCCTTCCTATCCTGGTTTTCTAACGGCTTCGTGAATGGGATTTCATACTGGCCTCCAAACATGCATAAACCATACCCCTGTTCCAACTTTCGCAGCCCAGTGCTTTTGCTCGGGTTAATCCATAGACCCAGAATACCCCAAGATTCATTTTTTTATTGTGATCCTTTCTATCTTTTGAGGCTCTTATGAACTTCTACCCTCTCCATCATGCCTTTCTTGCTTTCCAAACCTGGTAAACTATCTCTTCTTTAGCCTCCTTTTAAGCTGTATTCATCTTTCAGGAAATATCCTAAAATTTTGAATTAAGTCATAGTTATAATGTGTGATTGATTTTCATTTGTTTATTAATTCGTTCATACATCAACAGACGTTTATTGAGAATAATTACCTGTTTTGTTGCTGCAGCCTTTAAAATTTGAACAAAACTGGGGAGCCTTTTGCATTGAGAGGCTCATAGTCCAGCAAAAGAGACAAGATATTTGTAAACATACGCTAACAATATAATGTGGTCAACCATAAAAATAGGCATGTACAGAATCCTATGGAAGCAAATAGGAAGGAACCAAGTACTTTGATGACTAGGAATATCAGAGAATCTACCAAACGTTAGGTGACATTTGAACTGTGACAAAGGGATGAGTAAGAGTCTGCCAGAATCAGGCAAGAATGGTGGATCAGCAACCTGGATTTTTACAACATTATAAGCTTGATGAGAAGGAGGAAAGTGTCTTATTCATCTCTTTATTCTCTTTCACTCTGCCCTGCACATAGTTAACACTCAAATATTTGTTGAATGAGTAAGGGAATGAATGTGTGAAAGAGTACTTGTTCTAAATGCTAGCTTGATGATGAGGCAAACACTAAAATAGTTCCAAGCGTTATCCTAAATGAATGTCTTCTTTGTGAAAGCCTATTTACCAATTGCTGAAGAGCTCCATTAAGAATGCAGACATGATAAAATATATCTATATATAAATATTTGTCTTTGTTCAGGTCACCTCCTGAGGAAAATACCCAGATATGGAATTGTTGGATAGAAGGAGGAGTTTCAGAATTGATACATGTTACTGAATTGCTTTTCAAAAATAGGTATCAAGCAAAACAACAAAGAAACTCATAGTTATTGATTTTCTATTATGTGTTAATTGCTGTGCTATCATTTTAAAATATATATCAGCTTACCAAAATCTCACAATTATATTGAGGACTAATTATTATTTCCACATTACAGAGGAGAAAACCAAAACTCAGAAAGGTTAAGGGACCTGTCTTAGGTCTCCGAGGTAGTAAATGACAGAGCTATAATTAAAATTCATGTCAAAGATTTCAAAGTCCAAAACCTGTCTACTGCTACACAAAGTAGAAAGGATAAGCTTATTATATTGGTTTGACTGGAATGGCAGATTTGTGTGGGCATTCATGAAAGATCAACTTGAAGGCAGTTCCATGAAAATATAAATACTAAGTTGTGGATTTATTTTTGTTCTCATAGGCAAGAACAAGTAAATACCAACCCTAATTCTTAGCAAATATAACACATTTATTCATTTGTTCATTTATTCATTTATCAGACATTTACTGAGTATGACTATGTCATGTGATTCATATATGATCTGGAATTTATACATGCAAATATATGATGTTCCTTTTAAAGTAACTCCAGAAATATAGGGCACATGTTTGGGGATGAGATGCCAATTTCTGGACAGAGTAAATGTCAATTTTAGGGACATAATAGAAAAATAAGACAGAACATCATCATCATCATCACCACCATCATCATCATCATAATTGCTATTATTATTATAGTATGTTATGATATTTATTAACATAGTGGCCAGTGTTTATTGATTGCAGACTAATTACTGACCATAATGCTAAGTGCTTAACATATATTATCACAATCTTCACAACCCTCTGAGAAAGGTACCCCTATCTCTGTTGCCCAGATGAAGAAAAGTGAGATTAAATAAGTTCTCAAGATCAAACAGTTAGTAAGAGATTGCACTTGTTGGGTAGCTAAGTAATTTTACCTTCATTTTGCAGATAGGAAAATGAGGCTCAGAAAGTCAAGAAAACTGAAAATTTCTCAAGACCACACAATTAAAAAGTGGTTCTCAAATGGCTCCTTCCCAAGAGGCATGATCCTGAGAGGGACTGCTAAGCTCTGAGCAGGGAGTAATATCTTAGAAGCTATGGTTGGAACATTGCAGTATGTGTGCTTCCCCGTGGACAGACTTCAGTGTGAAGAACCAAAAGGGAAAATTGAGAGACAGAATCTTGGGTGAGTTACAGAATCAAAAAGCCAGTAGACCCACCAAAGGAACAGCCAATCACAAAGGCCAGGAGGGGCTAGGTATAGAGAGAGTGTCCAGATGTGAAACTAGAATAAAAATATTATTAGCCCTGAGGTGCTAATCGTCCAAACCTAAGAAAGTCTCAAGAACCTTTGAAAATCATAAATAGGTGTTTAAATAGCCATTGGGAGATTGCTGGCAAGATGGCTGAATAGGAAGAGCTCTGGTCTGCAGCTCCCAGTGAGATTGATGCAGAAGGTGGGTGATTTCTGCATCCAACTGAGGTAACCAGTTCATCTCATTGGGACTGGTTGGACAGTGGTTGCAGTCCATGGAGGGTGACCCAAAGCAGGGCGGGGCATCACCTCACCCAGGAAGTGCAAGGGGTCAGGGAACTCCCTCTCCTAACCAAGGGAAGCTGTGAGGGACTGTGCTGTGAGGAACCATGTACTCGGCTCCAGATACTGTGCTTTTCCTATGGCCTTTGCAACTGGCAGACCAGGAGATTCCCTCCAGTGCCTACAGAGTAGGCGCCCTGGTTTCAAGGACAAAACTGGGTGGCCATTTAGGCAAACATCAAACTAGCTACAGGAGTTTTTTTTTTCATACCCTACTGGCACCTGAAATGCCAGCGAGACAGAACTGTTCACTCCCCTGGAAAGGGGGCTGAAGCCAGGGAGCCAAGTGGTCTAGCTTGGCGACTCCCACCCCGAGGGAGCCCAGAAAGCTAAAAGCCACTGGCTTAAAATTCTCACTGCCACCACAGCAGTCTGAGGTTGACCTGGGATGCTCAAGTTTGGTGGGGGGAGGGGCACTGGCCATTGCTGAGGCTTGAGTAAGCCGTTTTACCCTTGCAGTGTAAATAAAGCCACCTGGAAGTTCGAATTGGTTGGAGCCCACCACAGGTCAGCAAGGCCGCTGTGGCCAGACTGCCTCTCTGGATTCCTCCTCTCTGGGCAGGACATCTCTGAAAAAGAGGCAGAAGCCCCAGTCAGGGGCTTATAGATAAAACCCCTATCTCCCTGGGAAAGAGCACCTGGGGGAAGGGGCGGCTGTGGGCACAGCTTCAGCAGATTTGAACGTCCCTGCCTGATGGCTCTAAAGAGAGCAGTGGATCTCCCAGCACAGTGTTCGAACTCTGCTAAGGGTCAGACTGCCTCCTCAAGTGGGTCCCTGACCCCCATGTCTCCTGACTGGGAGACACCTCCCAGTAGGGACCGACCCAGACACCTCATACAGGAGAGCTCCAGCTGGCATCTGGTGGGTGCCCCTTGAGGAAGGATCAGGCAGCAATATTTGCTGTTCTGCAGCCTCTGCTGATTATATCCAGGCAAATAGGGTCTGGAGTGGACCTCCAGCAAACTCCAGCAGACCTGCAGCAGAGGGGCCTGACTGTTAGAAGGAAAACTAACAAACAGAAAGGAATAGCATCAACATCAACAAAAAGGACGTCCAATCGACCCCATCCAAATGTCACCAACATCAAAGATCCAGGTAGATAAATCCGTGAAGAAGGGGAGAAAACAGTGCAAAAAAGGCTGAAAATTCCAAAAACCAGAACATCTCTTCTCCTCCAAAGTATCACAACTCCTCACCAGCAAGGGAACAAAACTGGATGGAGAATGTGTTTGACAAATTGACAGAAGTACACTTTGAAGGTGTGTAATAACAAACTCTTCCAAGCTTAAGGAGCACATTCTAACCCAATGCAAGGAAGCTAAGAAGCTTGAAAAGAGGTTAGACAAATTGCAAACTAGAATAACCAGTTTAGAGAAGAACATAAATTACCTCCTGGAGCTGAAAAACACAGCATGATAACTTCCTGAAGCATACACAAGTATCAATAGCCAAATCAATCAAGCACAAGAAAGGATATCAGAGATTGAAGATCAGCTTAATGAAATAAAGCATGAAGACAAGATTAGAGAATAAAGAATGAAAAGGAATGAACAAAACCATCAAGAAATATGGGATATGTGAAAAGACCAAATCTATGTTTGATTGGTGTACCTGAAAGTGACGGGGGGAGAATGGAATCAAGTTGGAAAATGCACTTCAGGATATTATCCAGGAGAACTTCCCCAACCTAGCAAGACAGGCCAACATTCAAATTCAGGAAATACAGAGAACACCACAAAGATATTCCTCGAGAAGAGCAACCCCAAGACACAATCGTCAGATTCACCAAGGTTGAAATGAAGGAAACAATGTTAAGGGCAGCCAGAGAGAAAGGTCGGGTTACCCACAAAGGGAAGCCCAACAAACTAACAGCAGATCTCTCTGCAGAAATCCTACAAGCCAGAAGAGAGTGCGGGCCAATATTCAGCATTCTTAAAGAAAAGAATTTTCAACCCAGAATTTCATATCCAGCCAAACTAAGCTTCATAAATGAAGGAGAAATAAAATCCTTTACAGACAAGCAAATGCTGAGAGATTTTGTCACCAGCAGGCCTGCCTTACAAGAGCTCCTGAAGGAAGCACTAAATATGGAAAGGAAAAACTAGTACCAGCCAGTGCAAAAACAGACCAAACTGTAAAGACCATCGGTGCTATGAAGGAACAGAATCAACTAATGGGCAAAATAACCAGCTAGCATCATAATGACAGGATCAAATTCACACATAACAATATTAACTTAAATGGAAATGGGCTAAATGCCCCAATTAAAAGACACAGACTGGCAAATTGGATAAAGAGACAAGACCCATCGGTGTGCTGTATTCAGGAGACCCATCTCGTATGCAAAGACATACATAGGCTCAAAATAAAGGGATGGAGGAAGATTTACCAAGCAAGTGGAAAGCAAAAAAAAGCAGGAGTTGCAATCCTAGTCTGATAAAACAGACTTTAAACCAACAAAGACCAAAAGAGACAAAGAAGGGCATTGCATAATGGTAAAGGGATCTGCAACAAGAAGAGCTAATTATCCTAAATATATATGCGGCCAATATAGGAGCACCCAGATTCATAAAGCAAGGTCTTAGAGACCTACAAAGAGACTTAGACTCCCACAGAATAATAGTGGAGGACTTTAACATCCCACTGTCAATACTAGACAGATCAACAAGACAGAAAATTAACAAGGATATTCAGGACTTGAACTCAGCTCTTGACCAGGCAAAAATAATAGACATCTACAGAGCTCTCCACCCCACATCAACAGAATATACATTCTTCTCAGCACTACATGGCACTTATTCTAAAATTAACCACATAATTGGAAGTAAAACACTCCTCAGCAAATGCAAAAGAACAGAAATCATAAGAAACAGTCTCTCAGACCACAGTGCAATCAAATTAGAACTCAGGATTAAGAAACTCACTCAATGATAGTTTTTTTTGCTGTGCAGAAGCTCTTTAGTTTAATTAGATCCCATTTGTCAATTGTGGCTTTTGTTGCCATTGCTTTTGGTGTTTTTGTCATGAAGTCTTTGCCCATGTCTATGTCCTGAATGGTATTGCCTAGGTTTTCTTCTAGGGTTTTTATGGTTTTAGGTCTTACATTTAAGTCTTTAATCCATCTTGAGTTAATTTTTGTATAAGGTGTAAGGAAGGGGTTCAGTTTCAGCTTTCTGCATATGGCTAGCTAGTTTTCCCAACATTTATTAAATAGGGAATCCTTTCCCTAAGAGCATCTGCACAGCAAAAGAAACTATCATTAGAGTGAACAGGCAACCTACAGAACGGGAGAAAATTTTTGCAATCTATCCATCTGACAAAGGGCTAATATCCAGAATCTACAAAGAACTTAAACAAATTTACAAGAAAAAAATAAACAATCCCATCAAAAAGTAGGCAAAGGATATGAACAGACACTTCTCAAAAGAACATATACGTGCAGCTAAGAAATATATGAAAAAAAGCTCATCATCACTGGTCATTAGAGAAATGCAAATCAAAACCACAATGAGATACCATCTCATGCCAGTTAGAATGGCAATCATTAAAAGACAGGAAACAACAGATGTTGGAGAGGATGTGGAGAAATAGGAATGCTTTTACACTGTTGGTGGGAATTTAAATTAGTTCAACCATTGTGGAGGACAGTGTGGCAATTTCTCAAGGATCTAGGCCCAGAAAACCATTTGACCCAGGAATCCCATTACTGGGTATATACCCAATGGATTATAAATCATTCTACTATAAAGACACATGCACTCGTATGTTTATTACAGCACTGTTCACAATAGCAAACCCTTGGAACCAACCCAAATGCCCATCAATGATAGACTGGATAAAGAAAATGTGGCCCATATCCACCATGGAATACTATGCAGCCATAAAAAGGATGAGGTCATGTCCTTTGCAGGGACATGGATGAAGCTGGAAACCATCATTCTCAGCAATCTAAGACAAGAAGAGAAAACCAAACACCTCATGTTCTCACTCATAAGTGGGAGTTGAACAATGAGAACATGGACACGGGGAGGGGAACATCACACACTGGGGCCTTCTGGGGGGTGGGGGACAAGGGGAGGGATAGCATTAGGAGAAATACCTAATGTAGATGATGGGTTGAAGGTTGCAGCAAACCACCATGGCACGTGTATACCTGTGCAACAAACCTGCACGTTCTGCACATATACCCTAGAACTTAAAGTATAATAAAAAAAAATAAAAATGAAAAAAGTATCTGCCAAACTTTTTCTCATTAAAAGAATGAAAATCATAAATATAGTTAACCCCCACTTGAACTAAATTCATTCAGCAACCAATTAATCTAAATTAAATCAAATTATTTTAGTTGTTTCTTTGTTCCAAAGTATGTTTGCCTGAATGTTAAGTAATACCTTTCAGTTGGCTCTAAAGATTGTGTTCTTTGCTATTTATGGTATTCATAGCTACCCTTCAAGATGGCTCCCAGTGATCTTCACCCTAAACTCTTGTGAGTCTCCACTCACACTGTACCATAGTTAGCATGTGTGATAAATAAAATCTGGCATTAGTGATGATAAGGTTATATTAATCGATAAGGTTATATTACTCTGAAATAAGTTTATAAAAGATATGATGGGTTCTATCTTGGTTGCACTCACTCTCTTTTTTCCTCTCTGGGTAAAGCCAGCTTCCATGTCACAAGAGGTTCTATGGAAAGGCCTATGTAATGAGGAACTGAAGCCTTCCAAGCCATGCCAATGAGCTTGGAAGCAGTTCCTCTAGCTCCAGTAAAGTTTTCAGATGTCTATAGCGCTACAGCTTGATGAAAACCTCATGAGAGGCCTTGAGCTAGAACAATCTAGCTAATTTACTCCCAGATTCCTCATTCTCAGACACTGTGAGAGATAATAAATGTTTGCTGTCTTAAGCCACTAGAGATTTTGGAGTAAGTTGTATACAACAATATATAGCCAATGCACTATTTTATTACTCAAGTCCAAGGAAAATGGACATTTACATTCAATAGCTCTTTCTCAGAGCTTTGACTCATCTCTTGTGTTAGCATCGGGGATTGTGAATTTCCCATCTATTGTCTACTCTAGGGATGATTAACATCAGGATGAATGCAAATGTAAGATAGGGAGCTGTTACCGTGATGTGTTGAGTTAAAGGAAATGTGTGGTCTAGAAGTGCATGACCAGGTTGAAGTCAAAAGATTGATATTAGATTATTGTAGCTGCAGTGGTAGCAAACAAGAGTCAGAGATTCAGCATAGGGCCTGACACTTAGTTGGTATTCAATAAACGTCTGATGATCTAGATTCTTCACTCTTGAGCTAATTCTACCTGTCTTCCTCTTCCTGGAACTCTGTCATCATAGATAATAGAGGCAATACCCTGTCTAGATACAATTTAAGAAACATTAGGGTACAACCACATGTAGTACAGAGGTCCCTGGTAGACTACCATTTACTGGGCAGGCCAACTTTGGTAGATCAGCCAGGAAGATCATGTTTGCTATAAAGATCCAAGACCACATTCAGGAATAGGTGTTGTTAACACTGTTATCTTATCATCTGTGAGTTTCCTGTCATGGCCACCTTATTGTTATTAGATATCTGTTTATTGTCCCATGTGGAACTGAGAAGATGCCCCCTGACATCTTACTTTACTCACCTACTGATGGAAGCCCACTTCTCTATTTTTTAGATTTTGCTATCTAGGACTATAGTGTCTATAGGATAAATAAACCCTAGAACCAGGCTATATGACTTGAAATTCTGGCCCATCACTTAATATCAAAGAAACTTGGAAGAGGCACTTGAACTATCTAATCTTTATTTTCCTGAACTGTGGAATGAGATAAAAATAGCCCCTATCTCAAAGGATTGTTGTGATAATTAAATGAGTTAATGCAAGTAAACATCTTAAAACAGTGCCTGGCACATAGTAAATGCTCAATATATCTTACCTATTACTGTCATTATTAGTACTATGAGGCACCCTGGTTTAGAGGAAAGAGCTTGGGTTTTAGGGTTGGATGCACATTTTGGCTCTGTGACCTTGAACAAGTTACTGATGTCTTTGAACCTCAATTCCTTAATCTGTAAAAAGGTAAGATATTATCTACATTGGAGGTTATTTTAAGGGTTAAATAAGATCATGCATACACATATTTGCATCATAGTTTTCTTCTCTTTCATTAGCAAGGTTATAAGTGCTAACTCTAAAACCTATATTTTTGAAAAGTAGCATCTGTCATCCTAAGAAAAATATCTGTGAAGAAGAGTGCACTGTTTTAAAGAATGGTAAATGGTTCTATGTTTAGCATCAGATGGGCAAAAGCATTTAAGTTCATGGTTGGATGCTTTTGAGTTTTCATAAAAATAAAATCTAACAGATATAATTAAGTATGCAGCATTTAGAATGAGAGTAGGCACTCTTCATTGTGTGGGCAATAAAACCTGGAAGAAAAAACAATCAATATGTTGGAGCAATTAAGTTTTCAGCTACAAATAACTAATTTCAATCCTCATGGTTTTTCTAGGATTCAAATATATTGCTTATTCTTCTTAAAATATTAATATAGCCCTGAATTATTTATGGAGCCAAGAAACACTGTACTCTTTTAACATGGAAGAGAATGGAAGGTTATTTCATGTCAGCACCATGGGAGACAATAATAAATCTGAAATGTAAATAATACCTCTGAGAATAAAGCCTGGTTGAAGGCCACAGTTTGTGTTTTCTAGACTTTTTCTTTTGTGATACAGAAGTTGGAAAGCCAATAGACAATGCTATTCTAGACTTAACGATTCTCTTAGGGTTACCAGTATTTTGTGCAGTGTTGAGGTCAGTCTAGAAGTTTTGATCACTTATAATAATATTATTTAATTTCATGTAATTTAAAGAACCTACTATAATAATAGCAATAGCTATTATTTATTGCATTTTATTATGTCCTGAGTACTGTGCTGAATGCTTATATACATAACCTTTACATCTTTCCTCTTAATGACTCTGTAAAGCAGGTACTGTTACTTTCCCTGTTTTCCAGGAGAAGACACTGAGACCAAGAAAGGTTAAATGTTTTGAATCACTGGCCTCTGACTCCAGAGCTCTTTTCCTGATGTAACAACTTGCTGCCTTCACCCATAGACAACGTTAATTGTTCTTGCCTCTGGCATTCTACAGCAGAAAGCCTGTGCTTCTGCTGCACTCTGCTTGGCTTTGTAGACATTTTTTCTTGTTGGTATTCTCCACTATTGTAGTGGAAAGAGCATAGTCTTTGAAGTTAAACAGACCTGGGCTTGATTTTTATGTCTTCTCTCGCTAGCAGTATTATCTTGAATTACCTAGTACTCAAAATAAATCTCTGAGGTAGGAATGTTATTGTCTCATTTTATCATTTATGAATCTGGGGTTTAGAGGGGTTAAGTAACTTGACCAAGGTCCTACTCCAAGTATGTGAAGGAACTGAGCTTGTATCCAACTCTATCAGAAGCTTCCAAATGTATCTACATAATTATAAATATTCAAAATTGCAATTTGTTAACTTGGAGATTATCTAGTGGCCTCCTCATTTTGCAGATGGGAAAACAAGGCCCAGAAAGAGTTTAGGTATTATTACCTTCATTTTACATTAGAGAAGATGAGAAAAGAAGGGCTAAAACTCCTGAATTCTGTACTTTTCTAGAACTGCCTAGTGGTTTGAAATATTCCTGTTGAGAAGGGTTTTGCTACCTCTCTTGATTGATGGAAGGGCTACTTACTCTATTAGATGGTGGTATAAAGGAAGCTATTGTGGAGTGATGTGCATAGAGAAATTCTCTCTTTTCCTTTTGTTAACATTGGAATGACTTTTATTTGCTTTGACCTTGGATTTCTTTTCATCATTAAGAGGGATATATTGTGTGTTTAAATATTGTATTATTAATAATATTTGCCTGAGTGCCGTGTCATGATCAATTTTTCATGTGTATCATTCTTTATGCAGCACTAGTTGAATTTCAAGCAGAACCTTACCTTCACCTCTCCTCCCCTCAGTGACAGTCTTCAGCAAGAAGAATGGCAGGCCTGAAACTCCTTATCCACATGGGAGATCAAAAATGCCTCCCTATGTCAGTCCAAAATTCTTTTTGAGATTAGGGCATCATGAGGCATCTGTGAGGAAGTGGTGGATATCTTTCTAAACCTAAACCTTGTAGTGGAGAATCCAGGTGGTATCAAAGCCCCAAACGTCCCTTAATCTCCTATGACTCTATTGTCTCATCCAAGTCTCCTCCCTCCCTTCCTTCCCACCTCTCCCCTTCCATGTTTCCTTCTTAAAACATTCCTGTCAATGGACCTCTCCATTCTGATTGTGAGGCAGACACTCAGAGCAGTGTGACTGGCAGTATGATCTCGGAAGATAAAAGCTCCCTTTACCTTAAACTAATATATTAGTTTAAAAGTAAAGACCGTATTTATTTCTGCCCAGAATTATATTTATTTTTTAAACCCTGTGTGGGTGAAATTTTATTAATACACTTGTTTTCCCAGGTAGCTTCTTGGCATATGGCCAGATTGGCATATTGTTCATCTCCCAGAACTCCAGAGAATATTTGAAATAGGGGACAGGTATGCTTGCCCCAAGTTCACTAATAAATCTAGTTAATGAAAACTGCATTAATTTGGTGATTTGTGCATGAACATTTTCACCCCATCTGCTAAATACCTCTTCTAAGGCTCCAGCCCCAGAAATGTATGGGAAGAATCCCTAGGTGGGGTTGTCATCTTTACCTCAGCAGCCTTTCAGATGCTTTTGATGCAACTCACAGGGTCATCTTTCCTCTTATCCACCTGTTTGTCTATCCCAGGGCTTGGAAGATTACTAACTTGGTGGGCGAGACTGGATGCTTTTTTAGAATAGGGATCATTTCTTATTCATCTCTGAAACCACAGGTTCCACACGTGACTGACAGAGTGAACACTCAGGATGTTTGAAGAAGGAAGGAAAGGGAGAAAAGAAGGGAAGAGAAGGGAAAATAAATACAGGAAGGGAGTGCTTCCATTCAGTCACCTATTCCACCAGGGAAAGGAGGGTTTGTGTGGCTCAGTGCTCATAGCATAGTGGTTAGAGGAAGTGTGTGAAGTAACCCAGACAGACATGGTGCTGTCTACAGCATACTTAATCCCTTTGAATTTTAATTTACTTTTCATTAAGTGGGAATGATAGTTTCTACTTTTTAAATTTATTATAAAACTTAAGCTAGTATATGTAAGATACTTGACATACTATATGCTGTATAGCAAGTGGTCAATAAATGTTACATTTTATGTTTTTTTTTTTAAGTCTTATTGTCTCTCTTTCCAGTATTTTTCCTATTTGTTGCCTTCACTGTGAGCCAGAAAATTCCTTCCTCTGGAAGCCTTTATCTCTGAAACCCAGCATTTCCAAAAATGTTCTGGGAAATAGATGTTAATAGGTATTACATAAAGGGGGAAGGATTCATATTTAAATACGTTTGAGAAGTACTGGATTAAAAATAAATTAACCATATTCTTTACAGCAGGACTTTTTACAACACTGAAATATGCTACTACACGTTGTAATTCTTCAGAGGGGACCAGTGCATACAGTATTTCCTGAAGTTATTTGATTATAGACCCTCTCTCTGTCTTTTTTCGCCAGAATATCTTATGGAATTAGTGTTCTTAGGAACTTATTTGCTCAACACTGCCCCAAAGAATTACCAGGTTTTTTTTTTTTTTTGTAACTGTCAACAATTCCACAAATTCTCTTTTTATTTACTGAAGCACGCAATGACAGTTTTTTTCTTCACATCAGATGGGTAATGGGCCAACATCATAATAAGGTTTGAGAGAGGCATAGCTCACACATTATTGCATTATTGTGAAAAGTTAATCATCATGCTTAACAAATTTTTTAAACTATCATTGGAAAACTTAAACAAATAATGGTGACAAAAACTTCCCTGAATCTCCTAGGTTTTGTTTATGTGTATGTGTGTGTGTATACATATACATATATATATATATATATTTTTTTTTTTTTTGAGACGGAGTCTTGCTCTGTCACCTAGGCTGGAGTGCAGTGGCACGATCTCGGCTCACTGCAAGCTTCGCCTCCCAGGTTCATGCCATTCTCCTGCCTCAGCCTTCACAGCAGCTGGGACTACAGGCATACACTGCCACGCCCGGCTAATATTTTTGTATTTTTAGTAGAGACGAGGTTTCACCGTGTTAGCCAGGATGGTCTCGATCTCCTGACTTCGTGATCCACCCTCCTCGGCCTCCCAAAGTGCTGGGATTACAGACGTGAGCCACCGCGCCTGGCCTATATGTATATATTTTTAAAGAGAGTTTTAAATTGTATTTTAATTTTCATTAATCTATTAATTTCAGAAATATTTCTCAGTATTCATTATTTGCCAAGCACAGTAATGGACATCACTGGAGTGTAGAACTGATAGGAAAGAGGCAAACAAACTTTCAGTTACATGTAGAGTGATAAGAATCTATAGGATAACGTGGAAGCTCATTGGAAGAACACTTAATGCAGCTTTGAGGGATCCGAGAAGGGTGCCTGGAGGAAGTGATGTTGCTGATGGAATCTCAAAGATAAATAGGATTTAGCCAAATGAAAGTAAGTAGTTGGGGAGAATGAGTATATAGGCAAAAGGAAACATCATGTGCAGAGTAGTGAGAGAGGCATGTTGAAAGAAATTCAGTGAACTGAAAAATAAAAGTGAAAATAGTACATTTTATTGTAGCAAATTTTGAAAGTAGTGAAAAGTACACATGAAACAGCAAAATCCCCTCAGATTTCTCCTCTTAAAGACAAGTCAATATCGTATCCTATTTCCTTTGTCTTTTTTTCTATGCATTTTCCATTTACATAGTAGAATTTTAGAATATATATAAAATTCTGCCGCTCACTTGTAATATTATATTGTGAGAATGTGTACAAATTGTGAAAGATTGCCTTGAAACTTTATTTTTAATGGCTGATTATGATATACCTGTAGGTGCATAGGTGCGACTTGTAGTGACCCTTCAGTTGTAAGGGAGGAACGACAATGTACCAAGCAGTCCTCAGATATTTTCCTTTATCCTGTCTCTGGTGACAAGATTCCATAGTTAAGTCACTAGCTAGACATGTTTTACACTGATCTCACCAAGGCCACCCCTAAGGCGTGCAGGGCTCCAGGCAAAGATTTTTTGTGATGCCTATGTCTATATAAACAGTTTGATTAAAAATTGTATTACAAAATTTATAGACCTCATGTGTCTATATTTATAGACCTCATGTGAGGTCCATGAATTTAGATGAAGATGTAGAATAATGTGTAGAGAAGATACTTAGGTATTTGTTTATTGTTCAATGAGTGCATGTGAAGTATCCGGAGCCATCTTTTCATATTCTTTGTTGTCAAATGCATAGTTTCTGAAGACAATTTTATATCTCCCACATGCAGAAAAAGCTAGCACTACTGTTATTACTCACAATGCATGGCTTTTTGGGGCATATTTGTAATGAAACAATATAGGTCTTCTTGCCTCAGCAGTTTCCTAATACTATTTACTTAACACTGGTTACATCATTACTCGTGATGCTTCAGCATTCATGGTACCGCTACAAATACTGGTTTTTAATGATGTACACAAATGCAGGGCTCATCTTAAGTATACAGAAAAATGTGAATAAATAATTTATTTGCTGGTTATGTTAAATGTACCATTAGGAATTGTATAGCATAAACGTAGATTAACACATCTTCCAACAATGTTTTATCTTGAATTCTAGCTTTAGGTTGTAGTCCCTACATTCCTAGAATGTACTCTGTCAGAGTTCACTGCACAATGTTAACTGCCTTTCACATACCACCATCAGCAGGAAGAATAAGCAAGGAGCCCAGATACAGAGAGAAACTGTTCTGTTTGTGCAAGGAAAGTGTGTTCTCAAATGGCACACCTCATTAATGGCCCAAGAGACCACAACATTCACACTTGGATTGGAGACAATGAGAAAGGCTTATTGGAGATACAGAGTAACAATTTTGAAAGACTTCAAAGAAGATAGATATCTCATGATAGGGACAGCTACTTCTGGAGAACATCTTAGCACTGTAAAGAGACTGGTAACTACTTAGCAGAAGAGGATACAGGGTTAAGGATGCCTGCTGCCACCCATGCTATCTTCAGTTGCTGTAAACCTGGAGACAGCACCTTGATTAGAACATAGATGGGCAAGAGCCAATGCCTGGGTCCATACATAGCTCAAGTCCAGAGGTCAGTGGTGGACTATCAGTATCTCAGAGCTCTAGACGCTTCCTGTGTCCAAGATAAATGAGAGTCACCCAAATTCAGTATGTTGGCACCATTCTGGTGGCCCAATCTTGTATGATTCCATGAAGGAAATACACAGAAGTGATCGCTTACCCAGGCATCTATCTTATCCTGGAACTGGGACATGGGACAAGCCCATAACCATAAGTTCTGGGCCTTCTCAGAGCATCTGATTGTCTCTACATCTGGGGAACTAGAAAGATTGCGAACACCCTGAGAATGAGAAAGGAGGGCTGAGATATGCCCTGCCCAATTGTCACTGCTAGTCCTGGTTGATCTCCAGCACTGGAAGAGGACTGAGAAAATTTCAAGTTAGGCACGTCTAGTGACCAGGACCCAGAGGAACCAGGGCTCAGGACATCCTGCTTGGACTGCACAGCCAGCCCAGGTACTAAAGAAGGACATAGACATTTTTCAAAAGACACTCCAAAGTCTGGGAGGGTCCCCACTTACCACAGTCAGAAGGCACTACTGCGCCTGGCTCAGCAGTTTCAGTTCTGGCTCAGTGATAAGTTTCAAAGAAATAATTCCCACCTCCCCCTCAGAATTATACCCACAATAGGTAGGTAGGGTGTTGAGTGGGAGCTGAACATTTTTACTTCAGAGAAACATGCAATTCCCACTGTTTTTAAAGAAAAGCCATGTCCTTTTAACAGAAAATAGCCAAATCCTGGAGACTACCATGGAAACCACTGGAAACCCAGTGACATGCTCCTCACATTATGAGGGATAGATAGTAATAATAACGACACTAATCAGTGTAATAAAGTTTATTAATACCTAATGTATTCGAGGAACATGCTAAATACTTTATGTATGTTTCCTTTAATTGTACTATAGTCCTACAAAGTATTATCTCCATTGATGATATGAAGAAATCAAGGCTCAGAGAAGTGAGGTGATTTACCCATGGCCACTCAGTTGATAAGTTGCAAAGCCAAGCCCATGTGATTTTGTTACCCAAGTTCTTTGCATTGTATCTCGCTGCCTTTTGGTTTGCAGGTACCCTCTGAGGATGCAGAAAGATCCCTGCTTTGGACACAGACAGGATAGTGCATAGGGAGATACTGGAAGCAACTTGCATGACTTGAGACTCCTCTCCCCCAGCCTAAGACCTGGCCACAGGGCTTTGTCACCCCCCCTCTCCTTCCCTGCTTGAAGCACTATCCATCCTTCAAGCCTATAGGCTCTTCCCAAGCATGCCATTAGATGTTTTTTTCATAATTTCATTTATACATCAACATCTTATTTCTCAGTGGGCTATAATTAGGCTTCTTTCCTTTTTTTAAGTAAACAAGCATGCGTGTGAAGCATCTTGGTAAATGACCTTCAAACTGTTAGCTGGCCTGGAAAGTATAGTTTTCACTGGAAACCTGGAGGTGGCAACTTTTCTCCTCTTACGAGGTATGTGGAAATTCAGAGACCTTTATACTAGCTACTGTGTGACCTTGGTCACATTACTGCTTCTGCCTGGATCAGTATAAAACGGGGATGAGAATAGGAAATTTGGAGTAGATAAGATCTAGCTAGTGGCAACTTGCTAGCTTGTTCTCTCTCTCTCTCAAGCTGACATGCAGCAGTGGTGTGAAATTGGGCACACACATCTTAGAATACACTCCTGTGTAATCATGGGGCAGTGTGGTAGAAGAGAAAGAGCATAGACTTTGGAGTCACAGAGCTCTGGGTTTAAATCTGCCTTTCTATTTCTATTTGTATGATTTCGGGACAGTCATTTAAACTGTCTGACAGTTCAGGCAATTGTGTCCTACCCCAGAGTCTCCAGGGCATGGATTTTCAGATGTCATTCTGCAGAATGATTAAGACTAGCAGATATTTCTGTGATGTCTCCTCCCCCACCCCACCACCTTGCAGACATCTGTGGACAGAAAAACCTATCTCCTGCTCCACCTCCTGTGTCGCCTCCCTCACTGAGCCTGCTCCCTTGGCTTTTCTGCTTCTCTATAAGGTCAGAAGCATTAGCTTTGTGCTGCCTTCAGCATTCTGAGTTTTCTGAAGCTGATGAATTATGATTTCCTCCATGCCCAGTCCTTTTACTTCTGGCTTGGAGGCATTGTGCTCCCTGGCTGCTCACTGCTACCAGGCTGTGCCTTCATAATCAGATGTTTGGGTTGGCTGTAATGATGATGGATGAGGCAGAAGAATGGCAACAGGTACTTTCTGAAGCCCAATCATAGGGCTACACAGGGAGCCTGGTGTGGGCCCTGAGGCCCCATCATGCTCCTTGGAGGGTGTCTGGGGCACTTCTCAGTGTTTTATTCATGGGCTCAGGACAATGGTGCATGTATGACAAGTATATCTGATGAAATGAGACAGTCACCACCACCATCCCACTTTATAGCTACCAACTCTTCATTCTCCTGGCTAGCTACCTGGGGAAGAAGAGTTTTTCTCTCAGCTAGGTGTTTTCCGTTTCAACCAACATTTTTTCATTCATTTCCTCACTCATTCATTAGAGTTCTGTGTTTCATCACACCACACAGACACATGGATTCTGTGATCCCCCACAATGCTAGATACCTTTTTATTTTTTATGGTTTTAATTTTTTTATTTTTAATTTTTGTAGATATCTAGTAGGTATATATATTTATGGGGTATATGAGATATTTTGGTACAAGCATGCAATGCATAATAACCACATCATGGGAAATTGGGTATCCATCCCCTCAAGCATTTATCCTTGGTGTTACAAACAATACAGTTATAATCTTTTGGTTATTTTTAAATGTACAATTAAATTATTATTGACTATAGTCACCTTGTTGCATTATCCAGTACTAGGTCTTATTCAATTTGTTTTTTGTACCCATTGACTGTCCCTACTTCCTCCCTAACCAGTCCCCCAACCCCCACTACTCTTCCCATCTTCTGATAACTCTATCTCCATGAGTTCAATTGTTTGGATTTTTAGATCCCACAAATAAGTGAGTATATGTGATGCTTGTCTTTCTATGCCTGACTTATTTCACTTAAGGTAATGGCCTCGAATTCCATCCATGTCGTTGCAAATGACAAGATCTCATTCTTTTTTATTGCTGAACAGTACTCCATTATGTATAAGCACCACATTTTCTTGATCCATTCATGTATTGATGAACATTTAGGTTGCTTCCAAATCTTGGCTATTGTGAACAGTGCTGCAGCAAACATGAGAGTGCAGGTATCTCTTTGATACACTTATTTCCTTTGTTTTGGGTATATACCCAGCAGTGGGATTGCTGGATCTTATGATAGCTCTATTTTTAGTTTTTTGAAGAACCTTAGGCACGTGAAGTCGAGGTTCTTACTCACTGTGGTTGGAAACACAGGCTTTTTCATCAAAATGCCTGGATTCCAACCCTGTCTTCTACCTATAGCTTTGTTACCTGAGACCAAATTCTCAAACTGTGTTTTGCTTTCTTCATCTATAAAATAGGGACACAAATACTACCTACATTAAAACAATTGTCTGGAAATAAATGAAATAATACACAAAAATACTTGGAATGGGACCTGACACATACAAAATGATCAATAGAAATTATTAAAGCACATAGCATTCCATACAATGGATACTCATTGGTGGCTCTAAAAACTGAGGGTAAGAAATGTTGGGAAACTTTTCAAGTTCAACAAACTAATAAATGATAGAGGTGGGATACAAAACCAGGCAGTCTTATTAATTATCTTTAATATATGTAGCAGAGCCATGGGATAGGGTTAGGTGGCAAGAGTGGTGAGTAGAGAATGATGTGAGATTAGACAAATAAAAGGAAAAAAAGCCATAAGAAGTTGCTTGTCTCAAATTTTAAATCTTATCCTTTCCTCCCTTACTTTTTCAATCTATGATTTTCTAAAAATAGTTCCTCTAGTCAAATCCTGGATTCCGGTCATTTTTGCTGCTATTGTTTCCCTTTCCTAGAACACATTTTATGCCTGATCCGGGGTAAGGCTGGACTGACCCCATCCTGTCTTTCTTACCTTAGCTCCAGCAACTTTCTCTCCCACATCTTCTGTTCTGCCATTAGACACTCACCCTTAGGCTTCCCAATAATGTCTGATTGTGTTACCACCACCACCAACCCCATTGCCTTTGCTTTCAATGTGACCTCAGCCTAGAATCCTCTCTTGGCCACTCTGCCTGGAAACTCTTACTCTTCCTTCAGAGCCTAACCTAACTACGTGTCTTCCTCTCTGGGAAGTCTTCCAGGACCCTGCAGGTAGAGTTAGTCAATCCCTGCTCAGTCTGTCTCCCTTTCTCCTGAATTTCTCTTTCACAGCATTTATCATCAAATTATCATTGTCTATTTCTGGGTCTGTCTCAGTTTAGTCCTTGAAGTAAGGACTATGTCTCATCCATATCAGGGTCACTAGAACCCAGCTTAGGTCTGAGGGAGCAGCAGATGTGTATTTGTGTTTGAGTGTGTGTGTGTGTGTGTGTGTGTGTGTGTAGATTAGGTAAACTGAATAGGATTGCACAGAAGTGAGCTGGGCCTTTAAGCATGACTCCCCTCCCCTCCCCTCCCCTCCATTTCCTTTCCTTCCTTTTAAAATTATGAAATGTCTATTTTGTGTTCGGTGCTGGAATACAGAAGAGCAACCCCTGATCCTAACCACATATTACCCACTTTATGAAGCTTCCTCAATGATGGGCTCACTCAGTCACCCTAGAGTCCTCCAACATAGCCCCTCAGGCCATCTCTTCTGTCTTTTGCAGAGTTCTAACATAGTACCTGGCGACCACTGATAGCCATCATCAGCCAGCAACACATTGGTCAAACTTTTTTTCTGATATTCTTTCCACAGGTTCTAGGATAGAGCAAGTTAACAGTGCTTGGAGCATTTTTACACTAGATGCCTCATGTCATGAATTAGCCTTGCTAGTATAGGCGCTAAGACAGGATATAATCCATACCTTACAGATAGGAAAACCAAGGTTCAGAGAACTTATGAGACAATCTCTGTTGAAATATGTGCATAGGCCTGGTAAAATGCATTTCACTGTGAATGGTCTTGCTTTTTCATTGACAGAACCATTCTCAATAGCATTGGGGCTATTTTACACTAGAGAACCAGCTCAGTCTGGATTGAAAAATGGCATATGGAGATAAAATGGTGAGAGTCACTGCTGGGAAAATGATATGTTAGGGCTGTTCCTCAAAGAGCAGTAATTTCAGTCATTGTTGACTTCTACATCTTTGTTTTTGTTTTTCCACTTTGTTCTCCATGCTTTAATGTAAGTAGATGGTTTGGACTGACTCCTTCCTGAGGAGATCTGTGAGTTACTGTTTTCTATTTATGTATAAGACTTCTGGATCAAACTTAAAGGACCCTAGGGAACTTAATTCATTCATTGTATTATGAAGTATTCCTTGAGCACCTGTTCCATGCCAGACCCTGTCTGGACAAGAAGAATGTTAAAAGCATGGCACATTCCCTGCCCTCACGGAACTCACAGTCCAGAAGCAGAAGACACATTTTTACCAAATGCAACTGATGCAGAGATAGACAGAATAGACAGAATTACACCAAATGCAAGATACAATTATTTGTTAAAAGGCTGTGCTTAGGGACACTGAAGATGAGGTAGCCATTTTACATGGGGTATCAAGAAGACCCTCCTAGCTGCAGCAACCCTTGAGTTAACTCTTGAAATATTCATGAGGAGATGTTACCTAGCTGTTCAGGAGCAGGAAGGCCATTCTGGGCAAAGGCAGCAGTATGTGCCCAGAACTAACAGTTTGGTGTGTTCCAGGAAAAACAAGCAACAAGTTCAGTATGGCTTCTCCTTAAATTAATGAATAGGACATGGGGAGAGATAAGGCTATAGATAAAGTATTGGGAGGTGGGAGTAGGCATGTATCACAGACTACTTTGATGGCTTGTCCTGAGGGCAACAGCAGGTCTCAGGGGGAGCAACATTTCCCGTTTAATGTATATTCCCAGTCTGTTAGTAATGAAGTGGAATTAATCCTTGTAAAGGAATTAAAATACCTAGATTCTGTTTATTTTTCTATCCCTTGCAGATTGAGTGAACATATGTAAGTATTGGAATATCTCCAAGTCTGTTCCTTCACCTATAAAATGGGAATAATATCTGACTTGCCCATTGTACAAGGGTATTTTGAGAAGAAAATGAAGAAAGGAATAGAAAATAATATATGAATTATAAAACTTTTTGTTATTATAATTATTTATTATGCCTTTTTATTATTAATTTAAGTTTCTATTCTCAATGATATTTTGATATTCCTTAGATTATAGGACTAGCATCTGTAATACAAAGTTTTATGATTACTGTCCAGGGATATTATTTAATACTAAATGTCATGGCCCTAACACTATTATAGACATAGACATAGGAGAAAAGAAGGGAAAGAAAATGATATTTATTGAGCATTTATGTGCCAAATGCTATGCTAGCTTCTTTGCTCCCACTTAAGTCATTCTCCTACTACTCTCATGAGGGCAGGTGTTATTAATCTTATTTCATTTTATATATGCAGAAAGTAAGGCTCAAAGATTTGTAATAAGTTATCCAAAGTCACTCAGCTAGTGAGTGGCAGAGCCAGGATTGGAAGCCTAATATGCATTAGTCCAAATCCTGCCATTCTTCTCTATATGTTGAGTTTTTTTTTGAGAAGGAGGACAGTGAGGGGGAGGGAGACAGGAAATGTTTACAGGTGGGATATTTCAAGATGGCAGTCTCCAACCTTTTTGGCACCAGAGACTGGTTTTGTGGAATACAATTTTTCCATGGACCAGAAACAGGAGGTGGGAGAGCGGGGAGATGGTTTTAGGATTAAACTGTTCCAATTCAGATCATCAGGCATTCATTAGATTCTCAATAAGAAGCGTGCAACCTAGATCCCTCACATGCACAGTTGACAATAGGGTTCTCACTCCTATGAGAATCTGATGCTGCTGCTGATCTGACAGGAGGTGGAGCTCAGGGGGTCATGCTCACTCCCACCCCCCCACCACCTCGTGCTGTGTGGCTCAGTTCCTAGCAGCCCAGGCACAAACAGGTACTGGTCCATGACCCAGAGGTTGGGGAACCCTTTTTTAAGACATCAACTTTTCTGACTTTATAAAGCCAGCAGAAAATTTAGTCTTTGTAGTGTTCTATAGCCCTCAAATAATCAGAAGCTGCACAGTTTTCATAGTCATCGTGTTACATTCTGATGCAGATACTACTCCTTATTTCTCTATTTCCAGTGACTTCTTATTATACTTAAAGTAACATTCAAACTTGTTACCATAATCTATAAGGCTGTGCATAATTTGATCTCTGCCTGTCTCTCCAACTTTATCTTTCTTTCCCTTCTTATTTCTCATAAACTCTAGCCACACTAGCCTCTTCAGTTTTCTTATATCTAGCCTCTTCAGTTTTCTTATATATTCTATCCTTATGTCTTATGTCAGAGTCTTGGCAGGAATTTGAGGATAATTTAATAAAGGGACAATTTACAAGGGTGTCACCTCAAGTTCTGCAAGGATAAGCACCATGTCTTCTCCTCTGGGGTCCTCCAGAGCATACTCAGATTCTCATTTAGTATTTAGTTTTTAGAATAGGGCCTGACATGTGTTAGCAATAATGATAGTGATTTAAAATAATAGAATAGGGGTATTAAGTGGCAGATACCTGATTTACACCTAGACTTTGGTTCCAGAGTCCATGGTCAATAAATATTTTTTGAATAAATAAATAAATGAATGAATGAATGCATAAAATATTACTTTTCAGTCTCTAATTCATTTGAATTCAAAATATTTATATTTAAGGATATTTACACTTAAGAAATACAATTTACTTTGTATTTGCAATGTTTGTTACACTGAATATAACTCAAAGTAGGGTGAAATTAATAATATCTTCTTTTTTTAGTACCAATTAATGTTCCTGCTCATTCCTGTTGTGTTTAAATATAAATTCCATTAAAACTGAGTTTCCCTCTTGATTTTATATCTCAGTAATTAAAGCAGTTTCTTAATGCTAAGAAATGGCACCCACCTTTAAAAGCCCCAAGAAGGAGTACAGATATTTAATTCTAGTTTTGCATGATGGCAATTTTCCCTTCATCACAATCCCATTGCATTTATAGTATTTGCCAGAGTTGTGCCAGTCACATGGCTCCAAAAACTGCCAAAGAAAGAGGACTAGACTTTAAGCCTAAAAATAAAAGAAAAGGAAAAAGATCTGGATACATGTCATATTACCCTGACAGCACCTGCACATTCTATTTCAATTATACTGCATGCAGGCCAATGGGCACATCCAAGAAGTCCTTATCTCCTGTAACTTGAGAATCACCAGCAATTGGAATTTTGTCAAATATTTTGTCAACTGGCCTGGTTCCTCACCAATCATGTACCTGGAACCTTGGCAGCATTTTTAGATGACAAAATATCTTCTTCTGGAAATCTGTGCAAGTTGAAAGGCCATATTCTTCTGTGCTGGCCTGTCCTGGCACAATGAGTACAGTTGTGAATACACTGTCTTAAAAAGATTGGGTTGTTTTCCTGGGGCAGGGCAGCCTGATGGAAGAAAGGTGTGAATATGAAGGTGAAGAAGCCAGAGATGTTGAACCTGGAGAAGGGCCTGGCTTCTGAATTTGTTAGTTCTTTGCCCCTAGGCAATTTTACATATCTTGAGGGCTTCAGGCCTAGATTTCCTTATCTATAATTTGTGTTTGCAGTGTTGTTTTGAGAGTCAGCTAGAAAATGTATGGGAATGTACCTCATAAATGATCAAGTTGTACCTAACTTTTATTGTTTTATTATTATCTAAATTGCTAGTGAGGCCTAACACTCAGTCAAAAAAGTATATTGTAAAAAGTATTAGAGTCAGAAGACCTGAGTACAAATTTTAGTTCTGCCACTTAATTACCAGGTGACTTTATGCTATTCATTTAGCCTTCTGAACTTTGATTCCCTAATCTATAAAACTGGAAATCATAAATTTATTCAAGAAACAGATTTTGAGCCCCCTTTTTGTGGACCTGGTAGTATGTGGATATGAAAAATATAGGTGTTTATATCTTGAGAAGGAGACAGTAAGCAAAAACAGACAAGGTTATAACCTATAACCAAATGCTGTTGTTCCATAGAGAAGGGGATTCAAACCAGATTGTTGCATCATTGCTATTTCCAAACAGGATTTGAGGCAACAAACAATAAAAAAGAATATTAAAATAGCCGCTTGTCAAGACCCTTTCCACTAAAATCTCATTTGGCCCTCATAATAATCCTATGGGATAGGACGAACAGTATTATTGTTATCCTCATATTCATCCATCCATTTGTTCACTTGACACATTTATCCAGTACCAATTATTATACATACAGTGCTGTAACTGCTGTCCAGTTATAAATATGTGTCATTTATCCACAAGCAAATCTGAAAAGGTCCTGATTGGATGGCCTCCATACAACTGTATGGAAAGGAAATGATCCTTGGACTTAAAGGTGAGCAGCCTGGGGTTTGAATTCCCACTCTACCAGGACTGGCCGAGGAACTTTGACTAAGTTATAGGGCCTAGCACATAGCAAGCTCTCATAAATAGTAAGAGAATGGATGAATGGATTGGTAGATGGATGAATGAATAAATGAATGGTGCCACTCTACCTCATTGAGCCTCAGTTTGCTCACCTATAAAATGGAAATAATGACCCCTGGATTCCAAGGTGATTGTGAGGTTTGCCTGAATTATTGCACTTAAAAAGTGTTTCTGTAAGTTGCATGCCAACAAATATGGCTATGCCTGATATGGTTTGGTTCTGTGTCTCCACCCAAATCTCATGTTGAGTTATGATTTTAAGTGTTGGAGGAGTGGCCTGGTAGGAGGTGACTGGATCATGAGGGTGGATTTGCCCCTTGCTGTTCTTGGGATAGCGAGTTCTCATGAGATCTGGTTGTTTAAAAGTGTGCAGCACTTCCCCCTTTGCTCTCTCTCTACTGCTGACATGTGAAGAAAGGTGCTTGCTTCCCCTTTTTTGCCATCATTGTAAGTTTCCTGAGGCCTCCCCAGCCATTCGTTCTGTACAGCCTGCAGAACTGTGAATCAGTTCAACCTCTTTTCTTCATAAATTACCTAGTCTCAGGTAGTTCTTTATAGCAATGTGAGAATGGACTAATACAGTGCCTGAACTCCTGATTCCTCTAATCCAGTGCTGACAACAAGTTTCTCCCTGGATACTATCTGCTCTGATCTAACTTGCCTGGGTATATTTGAGAAACCATTCCTTTTGGCCAAGTTTATTTGAATCCACATGGAAATGTTGAGGTGGCAGTTGGATATATGAGTCTGGAAATGTGGCAGGAGGTTTGAACCAGAGATATAAGTTTGGCCAACAGAGCCACAGAAAGATCAAATAGGATGAGGACAGCATTGCCTTTGACAACCAAAATTACAGGTGACATTTTCAGTCATTTCAGTGATGTGATGGAGAAAGAAGCCAGACTCCATGTGATGGAGAAAGCAGTGGGTTAAGGAACAAATTGGCATCAAAGAAGTGCAATAGTAAATGTGGATTACTCAGTATTTTGGTAGTGGAGGGAAAGAGAAAAGGGAGGAGTTTAGGAAGAAGAAACGATGTTTTAAGTGGATTGTTGTGGTACTATTGACCACTACATATTTCTTGACATACTTTTCTCCATTAGCTTCTGCAAAGTCTATCCCTACCTGTTCCTCCTTTGGTTCTTTTTCCTCTACCGTCTCCTTAAAGGCTCTGTTTGCAGTATTTTTCTCTTTGGACGTTGTTTACTCACCTGGCAGGGACAACTTATAAAAGTCTCACCTGGCATTCAAGGCTCTCTAACGTCTGGCTCTGGTATACTAGTACAAGTTTCTTCCTCCCATACTCTCCCATATAAGCTAAGCTCAAACTACTTGATTGTTTCCCAGTTCCAGAATTTTTCACTTTCATTCTTTCATGTCTTTAAATATATTCTTCATTTTGCCCAGAATCCCTGCCTGCTCCCTATCTTCGTGTATGTAAATCTTCCTTGTTTAAGCTTCTGCTCAAATGTCATTTCTTTCAGGCAGCTTCAATCTCCCCTCCCTCAACTGAGGAATTAGATCATATTCTCTATTTTTTCCTTATTGTAATTATTATTTTCGGCTTGTCCAAGAGTAGCATAAATGGTTTTGTAGGTCTTGATTTAAATGTCTGAGAAGATGTTGGATGACCTCTTAGCAAAGAAGTTACAGAGGTAATTTCTGAAGTATTGAGATTCTGTGTTATTCTCTTATTAGCAATTGTTTTGAAGATGCCCAATTATGACATTATCCATCCACTCACTCACTATGTCATTTGACTACTCGGTAGCCTATAAGGACTCTCCCCACCCACTCCACTGGCCTAAGAATAAAGAACCAGGTTTGGGGTTCTTGATTTATTGGCAGATCATAAGTATTAGTATCAATATCAGTATCATGCATATTAACCTGAGTATCATTCATCTTATGCAAATGAGGATTACAGTCTCTACTTTAGAAGAGGGTAACAATAAAATCCTTCTGAAACCAATGATTACACCAGCTATTTAAATGTCATCCCCTGTAAGGATTCTTCCTAGTGTTCCCACACCAGCATCTTCCACTTCCACATCAACATCATCTTGTACAAACCTCCATCATTTTATTTTCGTATACAATCAGTCTTCTATTATACGATAACATCAGAAATGGTTTTGTGTCATGTTAATAGCATAGGATTTAGTTTCAGGAAGATGAGGGTTCAAATTCTTTTGCTGCTGTTTCTTGGCTATGTGACCTTGGTTAAGATTATGTAATGTCTCTGATCCTTAATTTTATGATCTATAGCATAGAAACTTTATTAGGAAAAAATGAAATGAAAAATGTAAAACATCTGGCAGACTGCTGGATACATATCAAGTTACTCAGTAAGTATTTGTAAATTCAATTTCATTGAATTGGTCCAGTTCATAAAGCATTCTCTGCTTCTTATGTTACGAACTAATGGGGGAACAAAAATTAGATCATAGATTTCATTTTTATTAAGTGGAAAGGGTTTCAGTTTTAACCTGCTGTGAACCTCAACAGTGGACTGATTATCTGAAAGACTAGCATATTTTTGTAGCTAAATAGAACAAATTGAATTACAGTATAAACAGCAGTGGGAATTCCTGCAGAGTAGTATTTTTCAACATAAACCATTATCCTTGCCAGCCATATGTATAGACACAGCAAAGCTTCTGTATTTATGTTTTTTCATTAAAAACAAAATGATTAATTTCACAACTTAATTTATTGTATTTGTCATAACAGCCAAATTCAAATTAAAGAGTCTAGTGCTTAGAGCTATTAAAGACTGGCTTATTGAAAAGAATTTGTAATTTGGTGCCATTTTCTTAGTAAGAGCCTGTAGTTGTAATTTTCCAGCAAGAAATCTAAAATAGTTTTACAGAACCATTTTTCCTGATGCCTTATTTTAGAGATTTCAAATAGCCTCTGGTAATATTTAGAAATATAATTATTTAATATGTTGCCTGTCAACTATGGGAACAGCAACATGTAGTGGACAAGGTGCATCTTGAAGGTCAGAAGGGTCTATATTTGAATTCAGCTTTAGGCAAATTCCTTAATCTCTTGAACACATTCCTTGTCAGTAAAATGGGACTAATAAGACTTTGTTTTCAGGATAATTGTCCCAAATGAATTGAAGCCAGTGAAATGACCAGCACCTAGTAAACGTTCCTTTTCAAATTATCTACATTTATGTTTATCAGTGAGACAAGATTTTCTTACTTTTAACACAGAAGATTTTCTGTTGTTGTAGTTGTGTTTTCCATGTGCAGCTCAATGAGACAGCATATGAAAGTTTAAACTTGGGATCTTGTTTTTAATTGCCTTGCAATAAACATATTTCTTTACAGTTTTGGATGCCATATTTTTCACAATTACTGTTAATTTATCTGGTTATAGTAGTATATATTGACTGAAAAAAGTTTAGAGAATATAGAAAAGCCTACAGGAGAAAACAAAATCACCTGTGGTCTCACAATTCAGTTACAATCACTGTTAACATGATGATGTATTACACTTACTCATTTTGTGTACTGTTGGGAGCAGGCCTCCCAAAATCTGGCCGTAAACTGGCACCAAAACTGGCCATAAACAAAATCTCTGCAGCACTGTAACATGTTCATAATGTCCCTAACGCCCAAGCTGGAAGGTTGTGGGTTTACAGGAATGAGGGCAAGGAACACTGGGCCGCCCAGGGCGGAAAACCACTTAAAGGCATTCTTAAGCCACAAACAATAGCATGAGCGATCTGTGCCTTAAGGACATGCTCCTGCTGCAGTTAACTAGCCCAACCTATTCCTTTAATTCAGCCCATCTCTTCATTTCCCATTAAGTGATACTTTTAGTTAATTTAATATCTGTAGAAACAATGCTAATGACTGGTTTGCTGTTAATAAACATGTGGGTAAATCTCTGTTCAGGGCTCTCAGCTCTGAAGGCTGTGAGACCCCTGATTTCCCACTTCACACCTCTATATTTCTGTGTGTGTGTCTTTAATTCCTCTAGCACTGCTGGGTCAGGGTCTCCCAGACTGAACTGGTCTCAGCAGTGTACATGCATATATTGTGTATATGCATGTTTGCACATATATCTTTTACTATAAAATTTAGATTATAAAAATACTCTGGGTTTTTGCTGTTTTTTAAAACAATTTTTTCATATAGCAATAACCCACAAACATTTTATATATCATTATAGTTTTCAAAAATATAATTTTAATGACAACAAATATTTCATCATATACATATATTGTATACCTATATCTATACCATTAGGTCTGACTGCCTGCGAGCCAGGCAGGACAGAGCCATATTTCTCTTATTGCCAAAAACAGGTAAGAGAAATACCACTGAGTTATTTCCCCAGTAAGGAATATTAATAATGAACAGCCCTGGGAAAAGAATGCATACAATATATGTATACTATATATGTATACGTACCTTCATATGTATATATGTATGCACACATATACATATATGTTGTGGGAAGTCAGGGACCCCAAACGGAGGGACCTGCTGAAGCCGTGACAGAAGAACATAAATTGTGAAAATTTCATGGACATTTATCACTTCCCCAATCAATACTCTTATAATTTCTATGACTGTCTTTACTTTAATCTCTTAATCCCATCATCTTTGTAAGCTGAGGATGTATGTCACCTCAGGACCCTGTGATGATTGCGTTAACTGCACGAATTGTTCATAAAGCATGTGTGTTTGAACAATATGAAATCTGGGCACCTTCAAAAAAGAACAGGATAACAGCAACGTTCAGGGAACAAGGGAGATAACCATTAGGTCTGACTGCCTGGGAGCCAGGCAGGACAGAGCCATATTTCTCTTATTGCCAAAAACAGGTAAGAGAAATATCACTGAATTCTTTCCCCAGTAAGGAATATTAATAATGAACAGCCCTGGGAAAAGAATGCATTCCTGGGGTGGGGGGGGGGGGGCCCTCCAAAATGGCTGCTCTGGGAGTGTCTGCCTTATGCAGTTGTAGATAGGGAGAAAACACGCCCTAGTCTCCTGCAGTGCCCCCAGGCTTGCTAGGATTAGGAAATTCCAGCCTGGCAAATTCTAGTCAGACCGGTTCTCTGCTCTTGAACCCTGTTAAGATGTTTATCAATGACAATGTGTGCACAGTGGTACATGGAACTTCATTAGTAATTCTAGTTTCACCCTGACCTCGTGGTCTCGCCCTGACCTTCTGCCTTGTGATCTTTTGTTGCCCTTGAAATGTGTGATCTCTGTGATCCACACCCTATTCGTACACTCCCTTCCCTTTGAAAATTGCTAATAAAAACTTATTGGTTTTACGGCTCAGGGGACATGATGGAACCTGCCGACATGTGATGTCTCCCCCAGACATCCAGCTTTAAAATTTCTCTCTTTTGGACTCTTTCCCTTAATTTCTTAGAATGGCTGACACTTAGGGAAAATAGAAAAGAACCTCTGTTGAAATATTGGGGGCTGGTTCGCCCGATACATATATATATATATGTATTAGAATATACACATATATACATATGTATTGGTATACAGATGCACATCATATACATACATACTTATTTGAAAGAAATGCATTCTTTTTATTCATTTACATTGTTTCTAAGTATTGCTCTTATACATCACCTATTATCTCAGCAACAAATATTTTTGCATGTGAATTTCTATGCAGTTTTAATTGTTTCCTGAGGATAAATATTTAGCAGGGATATTACCGAACCAAAGAAGAACATCCACATATTGTCAAACTGCTCCTTAGAAAATATGTTTACCAATATACAGCCATGCTGAACTGTTTAAAAGAGTGTTTGTTTCTCAACACCCTTGACATACTACATATTATACTATTTTTAATAGTTGACAATTTGATGGAGGAATATGGTATTTTAGTTTTGTTTTACATGTATTTAAATACTAATGAGATTGAACAACTTTTCATATGTTTTTGATATTTTTATCCCTTTTTAATGAATTGGCTGTTCAAATCTGTAAAACTGTGTTTATTTTTCTTAAGAATTTATTTTTTATTTTAAGTTCTGGGATACATGTGCAGAATGTGCAGGTTTGTTACATAGGTATACATGTGCCATGGTGGTTTGCTGCACCTATCAACCTGTCATCTAGGTTTTAAGCCATGCATTAGGTATTTGTCCGAATGCTCTCCCTCCCCTAGCCCCACAACCCCTGACAGGCCCCAGTGTGTGGTGTTCCCCTCTCTGTGTCCATGTGTTATCATTGTTCAACTCCCACTTATGAGTGAGAACATGCAGTGTTTGGTTTTCTGTTACTGTGTTAGTTTGCCGAGAATGATGGTTTCTAGCTTCATCCATGTCCCTGCAAAGGACATGAACTCTTTCTTTTTATGGCTGCATAATATTCCATGGTGTATATGTGCCACATTTTCTTTATCCAGTCTATCGTTGATGGGCATTTGGGTTGGTTCCAAGGCTTTGCTATTGTAAATAGTGCTGCAATAAACCTACGTGTGCATGTGTCTTTATAGTAGAATGATTTATAATCCTTTCGGTATATTCCCAGTAATGGGATTGCTGGGTCAAATGGTATTTCTGGTTCTAGATCTTTGAGGAATTGCCACACTGTCTTCCACAATGGTTGAACTAATTTAAATTCCCACCAACAGTGTAAAAACATTCCTATTTCTCCACATCCTCACCAGCATCTGTTGTTTCTTGACTTTTTAATGATTGCTATTCTAACTGGTGTTAGATGGTATCTCATTGTGGTTTTGATTTGCATTTTCTTTTATAGATTAACAATAATACCCTGCTCGATCTGTATCATGAAGGCAAAAAACATTTGCCATATAAAATCTTTTGGTGTCTTCTGGCTCTAAAATACATGCTTCCAGTGGCATAGAACTTGGTCACTTTTTAAGATCTTTTCCAATCTCAAATCAAATGACTGTAATTTATAATCAATATAATTCTCCTTGTCCACTAAAGGAGATTTAATGACTTAGAGTCAAAAGTTTTACCCAGACACTGAAGAGTCTATTTATTCCTCTGAGTCTTGGATCGAGCTAGCTGGAGGATAAAAAGTTGTCATTTTCTTTTTTCCTTTCTACATGCTCCTTTTCTTATTTTCTATTTTTCACTAACTCTTCAACACTGCTCCCACCACTCCAATAAAACTGCTCTGTATAGGCCAACAATGACCTTCTTGTCACCAAACCCAAGAGATAGTCTAATTCCTGATTTTTCAGGAATTTGATCGTGTTAACCACACTGTCCTAAATTTATGAATTCCATGTGACCACACACTCCTGTTTATTTTTTCCTCAGTAGCTCTTATATAGTTCCTCTCCCTTCGCTAATTTTCTAAATATTAATGTTCTGCAACTTGTCCTTGGTCCTCATCTTTTATCAGTTTATGAATTCCCTGGGAAATGCATCTACTCCATTGTCATTAACTACTAGCTGTATGTTGCTTCCTGGTTCTCTGTCTTTAGATACAGACCTATATTACCATTTTCCAGTTCCATATCTTGTCTTTGATGTATTATAGGCACTCCAAATAGAATTCAAAATTAGAGTTATTATCATCCCCCATAATCTGATGCTCCTTCAATATCTCCTATTTCAGAAGATGTCATCAACACTCACCTAGTTGTCTAGGGCAGAAATTAGAACATTATTCTTGTTCTGCTCTTCCTAGAACTCAATCAATCACTAAATCCTGTCAATCCTGTCAATTCTCATGCTTCCTAAATATCTCTTCAAAACTTGCTGCTTTTGTTTTTAAACATTCCATTCTTTCTCTTGTTTCTGGGTATTTGTGCATGCTGTTATGTTCATTTAACACACTATTATGATGTCTTCAGATCTGAGCTCCCCTTGATAAATCTTCCTAAGCCCCTAATTTGGGTTAGCTGCTTCTATGTTGTATTCATGCCTGATTTCCCCAACATAGCAGTTATCACACTGTTACTTCTCCTTTGATTCCCCCTCTTATAGTAGACAAGAAGCTCCATAATACCATTGTCCTTTAAAATTCAATTTATCGAGATGTAATTTCTGTACAATAAATTTCATACCTTTTAAGGGTAGTGATCAACGAATTTTGACAAATGTATAGACCCATGTAATCACCACCACAATCAAGATAGAATATTTTTACCACCCCCAAAAGTCCTTTTGTGCCTTTTTTCTGTCAACTTCAGCTCTGACACCTCTGACCCAAGCAACCACTGATCTACATTCTACCATTATAAATTAGATTTGTCATTCCTTGAGTTTAATATAAATGGAAATATAGAATATATATTCTTTCATGCCTGGTTTCTTCAGTCAGTAATATGTTTTGTAGATAACAATAATTTATTGAATTGCTGAGTAGCATTTCATTCCATCGATACATATGCTATAATTTATTTTTATCTATTCATTTGTTGATGTAAATTTGAATTTCATTAAAGAATAAAGCTACTATGAATGTTTATGTACAAGATTTTTTGAAGGCATACAATTTTATTTCCCTTTTTTCCACCTAGGAATTAATTAATGAATTATATAGTAAGCATATTTTTAACTTTATAAATATCTGACAGACTTTCTTCACAGAATTGGAAAAAACTACTTTAAAGTTCATATGGAACCAAAAAAGAGCCCACATCGCCAAGTCAATCCTAAGCCAAAAGAACAAAGCTGGAGGCATCACGCTACCTGACTTCAAACTATACTACAAGGCTACAGTAACCAAAACAGCATGGTACTGGTACCAAAACAGAGACATAGATCAATGGAACAGAACAGAGCCCTCAGAAATAATGCCGCATATCTACAACTATCTGATCTTTGACAAACCTGAGAAAAACAAGCAATGGGGAAAGGATTCCCTATTTAATAAATGGTGCTGGGATAACTGGCTAGCCATATGTAGAAAGCTGAAACTGGATCCCCTCCTTACACCTTATACAAAAATTAATTCAAGATGGATTAAAGACTTAAACGTTAGACCTAAAACCATAAAAACCTTAGAAGAAAACCTAGGCATTACCATTCAGGACATAGGCATGGGCAAGGACTTCATGTCTAAAACACCAAAAGCAATGGCAACCGAAGCCAAAATTGACAAATGGGATCTAATTAAACTAAAGAGCTTCTGCACAGCAAAAGAAACTACCATCAGAGTGAACAGGCAACCTACAAAATGGGAGAAAATTTTCACAACTTACTCATCTGACAAAGGGCTAATATCCAGAATCTACAAAGAACTCAAACAAATTTACAAGAAAAAACAAACAACCCCATCAAAAAGTGGGCAAAGGACATGAACAGACACTTCTCAAAAGAAGACATTTATGCAGCCAACAGACACATGAAAAAATGCTCACCATCACTGGCCATCAGAGAAATGCAAATCAAAACCACTATGAGATACCATCTCACACCAGTTAGAAAGGTGATCATTAAAAAGTCAGGAAACAACAGGTGCTGGAGAGGATGTGGAGAAATAGGAACACTTTTACACTGTTGGTGGCACGGTAAACTAGTTCAACCATTGTGGAGGTCAGTGTGGCGATTCCTCAGGGATCTAGAACTAGAAATACCATTTGACCCAGCCATCCCATTACTGGGTATATACCCAAAGGACTATAAATCATGCTGCTATAAAGACACATGCACACGTATGTTTATTGTGGCACTATTCACAACAGCAAAGACTTGGAACCAACCCAAATGTCCAACAATGATAGACTGGATTAAGAAAATCTGGCACATATACACCATGGAATACTATGCAGCCATAAAAAATGATGAGTTCATGTCCTTTGTAGGGACATGGATGAAATTGGAAATCATCATTCTCAGTAAACTATCGCAAGGACAAAAAACCAAACACCGCATGTTCTCACTCATAGGTGGGAATTGAACAATGAGAACACATGGACACAGGAAGGGGAGCATCACACTCTGGGGACTGTTGTGGGGTTGGGGGAGGTGGGAGGGATAGCATTAGGAGATATACCTAATGCTAAATGACGAGTTAATGGGTGCAGCACACCAGCATGGCACATGTATACATATGTAACTAACCTGCACATTGTGCACATGTACCCTAAAACTTAAAGTATAATAATAATAAAATGAAAAAACAACAACAACAACAAAAAAAACAAAAACAGTCATTAGTACATTCTTTACATTCTTACCAGCAGTGTATAAAAGTTCAGGTTTCTCTGTATCCTTGTCAATGCTTGTAATTGTCAATATTTTTAATTGTAGCCATTCTAGTGGGTATGTAGTAGTATTCAATGTTGTTTCAATTTGGATATTTTTAGTGCCTGATGATAGTAAGCATTTTTCATGAGCTTTTTGTCCATTTGTTTGTGGGTTTTGTTAAAATGTCTATTTAAATCTTTTGCCCATTTTCTGATTCTATTATCTTACTAGTGAATTGTATGAGTTCTTTATATTTTCTAGATACAAGTCTTTTATCACGTATATGATTTATTAATTTTTTTCTATGTGGCTTTATTTTGCATTTTCTGAATTTTTTTCAAAAATCAGACATATTTAATTTTTATATAGTCCATTTTTATCATATTATCTTCTTTTAAGGTTTATGCTTTCTGTATCCTATTTAAAAAATCTTTGCCAAACCTTTGGTCAAAAATTTGTTTCCTATGTGTTCTTCCAGAAATTTTACAGTTTAGCTTTTTTACATTTATATTTATAGTTCATTTTAAGTTCATTTTTGCATATGGTATGATATTATTGTCCAGGTTTATTTTTTCCATTGGATATCCAGTTGTTCTAGCATCATCGGTTGAAGGAACAATCCTTTCCTTATTAAGTTATTTTGGCTGTTTTGTCAAAAATCAATTGACCACATTCTGTTTCTATTTCTGTTTGTATTCTATTTCTGAGCTCGACTCTGTTCCATCGATCTATATGCCAATCCTTAGACCAATTTTGCACATTCTTGATTATTTTAGCTTTATAAAAACTCTTAAAATCAGGTAGTATAGGCTCTCCAACCTTGTTTTTCATAATAGTTGTAGCTATTCTAGTTTCTTTGCATTGCTATATAAATTACAGAGTAAATTTATCAATTGGGATTATATTTAACTTATAGGTTAATTTTAGGATAATTGATAGCATAATAATATTTAACCTTCCAATATATGGCATAATGTATCTCTTCATTTCCTTAGGTCTTATTTAATATACTGACTACTTCTGCAGTGTCTAATCTGAGATTAATTCTATCCAGTGAATTTTTCCTCTCAGATGTTCATGGATTTTTTCATCTCTAGAAATTTCATTTGATTCTTTTTTATATCTTTCTTCTTTCCTTATTATAATTGGTTTTCCTTTAAATACCTGACATAATTATAATTGCTCTTTTAATGTTTTTATATGCTAATTTCATTACAACTACAATTTATGGATTTGTTCCTGTTGACTTGTTTTTCTACCGTTTATAGCTGACATTTCCCTACTTCTTGATATCTTTAATTTTTGATTGACTGTTGGGCATTGTAGAGTTTACATTGTTGTGTGTTTGTATTTTGTCGTCTTTGGTTTTTCTTTGGCTATAAGTTGAGTTACTTGTAATAAGTTTAATCCTTTTGAAGTTTTGTTTTAAGATATTTTAGGCATATCTGTTACAGAGTACTTTTTACTCTACGGATAGTTTGGCCCTGTTACTGAAGCCTAGCTTTTTTGGAGTTTTCAATGAATAACCCAAGGGATCAATGAGAAATTTCCACTGTTCAAACTTGAATAAATCCTAATGTCTCTGTTATCTCTAGGAGTTGTTCAGTTCTCCCTAGTTGCTGTTTGCCTGCCCTCATGGAGTTTTACCCTTGTATGCACTTTGGAAGACAGTAAAATTTCAAGTTCACCCCATGCATATTTCTGAAGCTCTTTTTCTGCAAAGATGTCTCCTCTCAAAACTACCCCTCATTACCTCAGAATCTCCAGACCCCAATTGGCCATTTATATATCTTCTTCTTTTAAATTTTCATACGTTTTTGAGGAACAGGTGGTATTTGGTTACATGAGTAAGTTACTTAGTGGTGATTTGTGAGATTTTGGTGCACCCATCAACCGAGCAGTATACACTAAACCCAATTTGTAGTATTTTATCCTTCACTCGCTTCCCATCCTTTCCCCCTGCAGAGTCCAATCTGTATCTTCTTAATTTAAAACCACCATCAAGCTATGCTTGGGTCCCTCTTCTTTCTTCACAATCCAAAATATGCCCCCAGGCAAAAAGCCTGGTGATGACAAGGCTCACTTCATATTTTCCCCTTATTTCAAGAATTAGAGTCTACCTACTACCTATTATCCAAAATCTGAAATAAAATGTTTTATATAGTTTATTCAGTTTTCTAATTATTTAAGACAGTAGAGTAAATCTGGTTCCTGTTATTTTATTATGGCTGGAAGCATACCTTTAAGTCTTTTTGAATGTGCTTTTGAATGTGATATACTATGGCTAAAACTGTCTAGGGTCTTTTATGACAGAATCTATAGTCAGAGCTGGATTTCAGTTTGGTTTGTGAAATAAATCACTTCCAACCTGCTAAGCTTTGTACTGTATTTTTTGATATAAAGATAAAACTGAGAAAGTCCCATTGCTAGGGAGCTATGTCTAGTCAGGGAAAACAGATGAGTAAATGATCTTAGGAAAATCATTTACAATCTATCAAAAGAGGCACCATGTTATAATTGAGAAAGTATGGGCTGGACAACATTACTACCAATTTCCCAAGACTAATCTTGATTATACAGTGCAGAATCTTCCAAGAGTATTATTTGATTATATCACTTACTATCTGTGTAAATCTGGGAAAGTTAGTAAAGTTGCTTAAACTTCAATTTTTCCTTATCATGCCTATTTATAATAGTTCTTTGGGTGATTATGAGGATTAAGTTTATATGAATAAACTGCCTGCCCTATAATAGATCCCCAGTTTAGTTTAATTCCTTTGTCTCTATCACTCAGTTTCCTCACCCATACATTTGCAATAATCTCCTAGGTCTGTTTTAGGTTGTAGGACTGTTATGAAGATTAGAGATTATGAGCTTCACAGTGCTATGGAGTCTTCAGATCACTATTGAACTCTGAAGCACTTGGCAATTTTCTCTATTTTCTAAGCAGCAGCCTGGGCAAGTTAGTTAAACATTATGCTTTCTGTAATTTCCAGGCTGCTTGGAACGGTAAACTGATTTCTATTCCCAACACGTGGGGTCCTTTCCAGAAGTGATAATCTTGTTAGGTTCTTCATCGTATAACCAAGCCCTATCCTAGCAGCATCAGTTAATTGTTAGAGGAACAAAGGGTATGTGCTATGGATTCTTGGACTTGTGTTGTGGGGTTTTGCTAAGCTTAGGTGGGTCTCTTCAGATCTTTACAACAGCTGTTTTTGTCAGCTAGCACTGTTCAATATCAGTTCCCTCAGAATACTTGGGAGCAGACAAAAATGGGACTGATATTTTTCATGCCTAAGAATAAGGGCTGTTTTCCAATGAAAATGAATCTGGAAACAATTATCCCTCTATAGACTGACATTGTCCATGCCATGAGAGTAAGAACCCCGTTGATTTGTTGTGGTGGAAAAGACAGGAACTTGGAAGAAAGATTTGGGCTCAAACTCTAATTAGTATCTGGATGCCCTTGGTAAAGTCATCTACCCTCTCTGAGCCTTTTTTCTCATTTGAGAATGGAGATAATACTGCTTGCATCACTGTGAGGAACAAATGAATTAAATGGGTAGGGGAAAGTGTTTTGTAATCTATAATGTACAATCAGCTACTTTCTATTATTTTCTATAATATTTTATTAGTTTTTTACACTTTTCTTCTTTCCAGTGTAGAGCTTAACATATCTCATCTGCTTAGTTTCTCTTCAGATTTATCCTAATTATGTTCCATATACACTTGATCTATTTGATGAGCACAGCCCTAGTTCTCCTTGCGAAGCAGCCAGTTATGATAGAAAGAATGTGGGCTTTGAAGCCAATGATTTGTGCTTTATATGACACTTCTACCATTTGCTGGCCATACAACTAGGGGAAAATTATTTGAACATTCTTAATACCATTTCGCCATCTATAAAACAAACATTAAACCCTACATCTCAGGGTTATTATGAGCACTAAGTAATATATATATATTAAGTACCTACATATAAAAGGTACCAAATAAATATTCTATTGTTTCAGATATCTAAATTCTCAAAAATAGGCCTTTTTGTGTTTTCCAGAAAATGCACCAAAATATGCTTTTTTTCTGAAATTTTATTGCTATTGAATATTAAATGCCCAGGTTTTTTCCTCATTTTTTCTTCTTGTGGTGCACTTTGAGTTTTATAGATCTATTTAAAAGTATCTTACACATTCACTTGGTGAAATGTTTCCCTTTCAAATCTGTCAACACTCCAAAGTCACCAACTGACTGAGAACAAACTTTGGGGTCCTGTGGGCTAATTCACACTCCTCAAGAGACTAGCAAACATACTCTTTGAGCCCTGGCAGGCACCCATTCTTTGATTGCTCCTTATATCCAGATAGTCTTTTATTTTGTACGACTATTTTGCAACCCATAAAGTTGAAATATAATCCCACTATGAGACTTTCTAATCCAACTGCCTCATTTCACAGAAATTAAATTTCAGAGATAGTTGGAGCAGTCAGCTCTCCTGGTTTCCTCAACTGTTTTATTTCCATAAAATCTTGCTACTTTATCTACAGTTAATCTTAACAACCCTGTATGATAAGAATGTTAGTGCCATTTTCTCTATTTGATACATGAAGAAACTAGTTTCAGAAGGGTGACTTGCCTAGGGTCACACAGCTAGTTGGTTAATGAATTGGTTTCAAATCCAGATCCTGTTCCTCTCCATTGAGCTACATCAGCCTGCTGCCCTTGTAAAGCCTCTAAGTTGCTTGTAAAGCAGTGCTACGGTCAGGGTTGGCAAATGTAGCATGCTCGTGTGGGTGGAGTTAATTATCCAATAGCAGCTGATGAGGGAGGGCTCCAGCCAGGCAGATGCTGGTAGAAAATTTCTCTTCCAAAATGTGTTTATGCCATTCTTTTTGGAAAAATTGTTCTATCTTCTATCATTTGACCCTTACCTTTCTGTTCTTCATTCTGCTGATTATAGAGGACTCTTCATTGCAAACCAGGATTGGAGGCAGGGGAAATATAGTTTAATTAATTTTTCTCCATGGGAAATCTATAGTATTCAGATACATGCTTAGAATTTATTTATATATGTATTTTGTTTATTGACTGATTTGTTATATTTCATTTGCCGTAGACTCTTTGAAGTGTATTATAAAAATACAGAACTTCTTACCACCTCCAAGGCCTCCAGCTGGCCATGTCTATCTTTCCAGCTTCATCTCTAGCCATTCTAAAAATGATCCAACTACATGTTGAATCTTCTATCTTCTATCAGTACATCTTCTATCAGTACCTTGAAGGCACCAAGCTCTTTTCCATTTTAGATATATTGCAAGCTGTCCCTTCTGGCAAAATGAGAGTAGGAAAAAGAAGAAGCCAGGAGTAAGGATAATGTCTGTACTTATTGGGTTGAGTAATAAACTTAACTTTGAGTTTCCTAGCAACCAAGGCAACAAGAGATATAGAAACAGACACATGGCTCATACAATCCATTACAAAACTCAATTAAGTTTCTTAGGACAAACACAGCTTTTATTGACACTGAGACCCAAGGAGAGTAGGAGAGAGTGGGCAATCTTTATAAGGAGTAGAGTTTATTATATGATAAGCAACAGTCTCCACCACATCCTTAGACACACCCTAGCAATAGGAAAAACATTTCATGGGGCTATTTCTTATACCAGCTCTCAATTTAGTCCTTTGTTATCTGCCATATTGATAAAAGCAATCCTATGAGAGAGCAAACTGTTGTTCTCTTGAAACTTGGCTTGATTCAAAGATAAACTTTAGAATATCTCAAAATGTGTATGAAATATATAATTTTAGGCTATTTTCTGTGTATTTTTTCTCTCAACTGAGCTTTTCATAAATATTGAGTGGCAAGTTACTTAAGCTTGACTTTCTGACAATTAACTGACTAATATAATTTACTAACCACAAATTTTCTAAATAACCTGTGGTCTGTATAACCCTTTTCCATGAGAAAGTTTCTAAGAATTAAATATTCATCTATAAATTAGAGGTAATAATAGCCTCAAATGGATATTGTAAAGATCAAATAATACGATACTATAATAACAATAGTGGGCAATAACAATATAGTAGCTAACAGGGCTGGGCGCAGTGGCTCATGCCTGTAATCCTAGCGCTTTGGGAGGCCAAGGCGGGCAGATCACGAGGTCAGGAGTTTGAGACCAGCCTGGCCAACATAGTGAAACCCTATCTCTACTAAAAATACAAAAAATTAGCTGGGCATGGTTGCGGGTGCCTATAATCCCAGCTACTCAGGAGGCTGAGGCAGGAGAATCACTTGAATCTGGGAGGCGGAGGTTGCAGTGAGCCGAGATCGCACCACTGCACTCCACCCTGGGTGACAGAGTGAGACTCTGTCTCAGAAAAAACAAAAACAAACAAACAATATAGTAGCTAACAGATATTGAACCATTCCAGGGTGCCAGGCATTGCTAACTGCCTTATTTACATTATTTCATTCAATCCTTATAAAAAACATTAAAAGTTAGGATTATTATTGTGCCAATTTGAAAAATCAAAAACTGGGGCTCAGAGAGCTGAAGTAAATTGTCTAAGGTCATGGATTTAGTAAAAGAGGGAGTTAGGATTAAACTGCAGGTTGCTTGGATTCCAGAGCTTTTACACTTAACAACTGTGTGATAATTAACCATATGCAGTATTTGATAAATTGATTAGTATTATTTTAAGAGTCACAACCAAACCTAAATTGTTGTTAATCAGTACAAGATTAATGTGATTGGAATATTTTTGTTAGAAAGTGTCATGTGGCCTGCAGCATTTTATTTATGTGGTGTGACATACCACATTTCATCAAATTTAGGAAGCCATCAACTGTTAAGATATACCATTACTTTATGTATTACTAAGAAAAAAAAATGTGGGGTCTGTTCCAAGATGGACAAATAGGAACAGCTCCGGTCTGCAGCTCCCAGCGTGATCAACACAGAAAACTGGTGATTTCTGCATTTCCAACTGAGGTACCTGGTTCATCTCATTGGGACTGGTTGGACAGTGGATGCAGCCCATGGAGGGCGAGGCAAAGCAGGGCAGGGCGTTGCCTCACCTGGGAAGTGCAAGGGGTTGAGGGATTTCCCTTTCCTAGCCAAGGGAAGCTGTGACAGTGTGTACCTGGAAAAATGGGACACTTCCACCCAAATACTGCGCTTTTCCCAAGGTCTTAGCAACTGGCAGACAAGGAGATTCTCTCCCGTGCCTGGCTCGGTTGGTACCATGCCTACGGAGCCTTGCTCACTGCTAGCGCAGCAGTCTGAGATCAAACTGTGAGGGGACAGCCTGGCTTGGGGAGGGGCGTCTGACATTGCTGAGGTTTGAGTAGGTAAACAAAGCAGCTGGGAAGCTCGAAATGGGCGGAGCCCACTGCAGCTCAGCAAGGCCTGCTGCCTCTATAGACTCCACCTCTGTGGGCAGGACATAGCTGAACAAAAGGCAGCAGACAACTTCTGCAGACTTAAACGTCCATGTCTGACAGCTCTGAAGAGAGCAGTGGTTCTCCCAGCATGGCGTTTGGGCTCTGAGAATGGACAGACTGCCTCCTCAAGTGGGTCCCTGACTCCTGTGTAGCCTAACTGGGAGACGCCTCCCAGTAGGGGCCGACAGACACCTCATATAGGTTGCTGCCTCTCTGAGACAAAGCTTCCAGAGGAAGGATCAGGCAGCAGTATTTGCTGTTCTGCAGCCTCTGCTGATGATACCCAGATAAACAGGTTCTGGAGTGGACCTCCAGCAAACTCCAACAGACCTGCCGCTGAGGGACCTGTTAGAAGGAAAACTGACAAAGGAAAGGAATAGCATCAACATCAACAAAAAAGGCATCTACAACAAAACCTCATCTGTAGGTCACCAACATCAAAGATCAAAGGTAGATAAAACCACAAATATGGGGAGAAACCAAGGCAGAAAAGCTGAAAATTCTACAAACCAGAGTGCCTCTTCTCCTCCAAAGGATTGCAGCTCCTCGCCGGCAATGGAACAAAGCTGGATGGAGAATGACTTTGATGAGTTGACAGAAGTAGCCTTCAGAAGGTTGGTAATAACAAACTTCTCCAAGCTAAAGGAGCATGTTCGAACCCATCACAAGGAAGCTAAAAACCTTGAAAATAGGTTAGGCAAATGGCTAATTAGAATAAACAGTATATAGAAGACCTGAAATGACCTGATGGAGCTGAAAACCATGGCATGAGAACTTCATGACACAAGCACAAGCTTCAGTAGCCCATTCGATCAAGTGGAAGAAAGGGTATCAGTGATTGAAGATCAAATTAATGAAATAAAGCAAGAAGGCAAGGTTAGAGGAAAAAGAGGAAAAAGAAATTAACAAAGCCTCCAAGAAATATGGGACTATGAGAAAAGACCAAATCTATGTTGGATTGGTGAACCTGAAAGTGATGGGGAGAATGGAATCAAGTTAGAAAACACTCTTCAGGATATTACCCAGGAGAACTTCCCCAACCTAGCAAGACAGGCCAATATTAAAATTCAGGAAATATAGAGAACACCACAAAGATGCTCCTTGAGAAGAGCAACCCCAAGACACATAATTGTCAGTTTCACGAAGGTTGAAATGTTAAGGCACCAAGGAAAAAATGTTAAGGGAAGCCAGAGAGAAAGGTCAGGTAACTCACAAAGGGAAACCCATCAGACTAACAGCAGATCTCTCGGCAGAAACCCTGCAAGCCAGAAGAGAGTGGGGGCCAATATTCAACATTCTTGAAGAAAAGACTTTTCAACTTTTTTCAAGAAAAGACTTTTCAACTTTTCATACCCAGCCAAACTAAGCTTCATAAGTGAAGGAGAAATAAAATCCTTTACAGACAGGCAAATGCTGATAGATTTTGTCACAAACAGGCCTGCCTTACAAGAGCTTCTGAAGGAAGCACTAAACATGGAAAGAAACAACTGGTACCAGCCACTGCAAAAACATGCCAAATTGTAAAGACCATCAATGCTATAAAGAAACTGCATCAATTAACGGGCAAAATAACCAGCTAACATCATGATGGGATCAAATTCATACATAACAATATTAACCTTAAATGTAAATGGGCTAAATGCTCCAATTAAAAGACACAGACTGGCAAATTGGATAGAGTCAAGACCCATCGGTGTGCTGTATTCAGGAGACCCATCTCACATGCAGAGACACACATAGGCTCAAAATAAAGGGATGGAGAAAGATCTACCAAGCAAATGGAAAGCAAAAAAAAGCAGGTGTTGCAATCCTAGTCTCTGATAAAACAGACTTTAAACCAACAAAGACCAAAAGAGACAAAGAAGGCCATTACATAATAATAAAGGGATCAATTCAATAAGAAGAGCTAACTATCCTAAATATATATGCACCCAATACAGGAGCACCCAGATTCATAAAGGAACTCCTTAGAGACCCACAAAGAGACTTAGACTCCTACACAGTAATAGTGGGAGACTTTAACACTGCACAACAAGACAGCAGGGTAACAAAGATATCCAGGACTTGGACTCAGCTCTGGACCAAGTGGACCTAATAGATATGTACAGAACTCTCCACCCCAAATCAACAGAATATACATTCTTCTCAGCACCACATAACACTTATTCGAAAATTGACCACATAGTTGGAAGTAAAGCACTCCTCAGCAAGTGTAAAAGAACAGAAATCACAACAAACTCTCTTTCAGACCACAGTGCAATCAAATTAGAACTCAGGATTAAGAAACTCACTCAAAACCACACAACTACATGGAAACTGAACAACGTACTCATGAATGACTACTGGGTAAATAACAAAATGAAGGCAGAAATAAAGATGTTCTTTGAAACCAATGAGAACAAAGACACAATGTACCAGAATCTCTGGAACACATTTAAAGCAGTGTGTAGAGGGAAATTTATAGCACTGAATACCCACAAGAGAAGGCAGAAAAGATCTAAAATCGACACCCTAACATCACAATTAAAAGAACTAGAGAAGCAAGAGCAAACACATTCAAAAGCTAGCAGAAGGCAAGAAATAACTAAGATCAGAGCAGAATTGAAAGAGATAGAGACACGAAAAACCCTTCAAAAAATCAATGAATCCAGGAGCTGGTTTTTTGAAAAGATCAACAAAATTGATAGAACACTAGCAAGACTAATAAAGAAGAAAAGAGAGAAGAATCAAATAGATGCAATAAAAAATGATAAAGAGGATATCACCACCAATCCCACAGAAATACAAACTCCTATCATAGATTACTATAAACATCTCTACGCAAATCAACTAGAAAATCTAGAAGAAATGGATAAATTCCTAGACACATACACCCTCCCAAGACTAAACCAAGACGAAGTTGAATCTCTGAATAGACCAATAACAGGTTCTGTAATCGAGGCAATAATTAATAGCCTACCAACCAAAAAAAGTCCAGGACCAGATGGATTCACAGCCGAATTCTACCAGAGGTACAAAGAGGTGCTGGTACCATTCCATCTGAAACTATTCCAATCAATAGAAAAAGAGGGAATCCTCCCTAACTCATTTTATGAGACCAGCATCATCCTGATACCAAAGCCTGGCAGAGATTCAACAAAAAAAGAGAATTTTAGACCAATATCCCTGCTGAACATGATGTGAAAATCCTCAATAAAATACTGACAAACCAAATCCAGCAGCACATCAAAAAGCTTATCCACCACAATCAAGTCAGCTTCATCCCTGGGATGCAGGGCCAGTTCAACATATGCAAATCAATAAATGTAATCGATCACATAAACACATGATTATCTCTATAAACGCAGAAAAGGGCTTTGACAAAATTCAACAGCACTTCATGCTAAAAACTCTCAATAAACTACATATTGATGGAATGTATCTCAAATTAATAAGAGCCATTTATGACAAACCCACAGCCAATATCATACTGAATAGGCAAAAATTGGAAGCATTCCCTTTGAAAACCAGCACAAGACAAGGATGCTCTCTCTCACCACTCCTATTCAACATAGTGTTGGAAGTTCTCTCCAGGGCAATCAGGCAAGAGAGAGAAATAAAGGGTATGCAATTAGGAAAAGAGGAAGTCAAATTGTCCCTGTTTGCAGATGACATGATCATATATTTAGAAAACCCCATCGTCTCAGCCCAAAATCTCCTTAAGCTGATAAGCAACTTCAGCAAAGTCTCATGATACAAAATCCATGTGCAAAAATCACAAGCATTCCTATACACCAATAACAGACAGAGAGCCAAATCATGAGAGAATTCCCATTCACAATTGCTACAAAGGGAATAAAATACCTAGGAATCCAACTTACAAGGGATGTGAAGGACCTCTTCAAAGAGAGCTACAAACCACTGCTCAAGGAAATGAAAGAGGACACAAACAAATGGAAGAATATTCCATGCTCATGGATAGGAAGAATCAATACAGTGAAGATGGCCATACTGCCCAAGGTAATTTATAGATTCAATGCCATCCCCATCAAGCTACCAATGACTTTCTTCACAGAACTGGAAAAAACTACTTTAAAGTTCATATGGAACCAAAAAAGAGCCCATATTGCCAAGACAATCCTAAGCAAAAAGAACAAAGCTGGAGGCATCACGCTACTTGACTTCAAACTATACTACAAGGCTACAGTAACCAAAATAGCATGGTAGTAGTACCAAAACAGATATATAGACTAATGCAACAGAAAAGAGGCCTCAGAAATAACACCACACATCTACAACCATCTGATCTTTGAGAAACCTGACAAAAACAAGCAGTGGGGAAAGGATTCCCTATTTAATAAATGGTGCTGGGAAAACTGGCTAGCCATATGTAGAAAGCTGAAACTGGATCCCCTCCTTACACCTTATACAAAAATTAATTCAAGATGGATTGAAGACTTAAATGTTAGATCGAAAACCATAAAAACCCTAGAAGAACACCTAGGCAATACCATTCAGGACATAGGCATGGGCAAGGTCTTCATGACTAAAACACCAAAAGCAATGGCAACAAAAGCTAAAATAGACAAATGGGATCTAATTAAACTAAAGAGCTTCTGCACAGCCAGAGAAACTTCCATCAGAGTGAACAGGCAACCTACAGAATGGGAGAAAATTTTTGCAAACTACCAATCTGACAAAGGGCTAATATCCAGAATCTACAAAGAACTCAAACAAATTTACAAGGAAAAAAAAAAACCCCATCAAAAAGTGGGCAAAGGATATGAACAGACACTTCTCAAAAGAAGACATTTATGCAGACAACAGACACATGAAAAAATGCTCATCATCACTGGTCATCAGAGAAATGCAAATGAAAACCACAATGAGATTTCATCTTACGCCAGTTAGAATGTCAATCATTAAAAAGTCAGGAAACAACAGATGCTGGAGAGGATGTGGAGAAATAGAAGTGCTTTTACACTGTTGGTGGGAGTGTGAATTAGTTCAACCATTGTGGAAGCCACTGTGCCGATCCCTCAAGTATCTGGAATTAGAAATACCATTTGACCCAGCAATCCCATTACTGGGTATATACCCAAAGGTTTATAAATCATGCTACTATAAAGACACATGCACACATATGTTTATTGTGGCACTATTCACAATAGCTAACACTTGGAACTAACCCAAATGTCCATCAATGATAGAATGGATCAAGAAAATGTGGGACATACACACCATGCAATACTATGCAGCCATAATGAAGGATGAGTTCATGTCCTTTGCAGGGACATGGATGAAGCTGGAAAACATCATTCTCAGCAAACTATCACAAGGACAAAAAATCAAACACCACATGTTCTCACTCATAGGTGGGAATTCAACAATGAGAATACTTGGACACAGGATGGGGAGTATCACACACCAGGGCCTGTTGGCGGGGTGGGGATATGGAGGAGGGATAGCATTAGAAGAAATATGTAATGTAAATGACGAGTTGATGGGTGCAGCAAACCAACATGGCACACGTATACCTATGTAACAAACCTGCACGTTGTGCACATGTACCCTAGAACTTAAAGTATAATAAAAAAATTTTAAAAAGAAGAAAAATGTTGCCAATTAAACTCTGGCACAATGCTTTCTTAATATATCGAATTTTTATATTCTACTCTTTGAAAGAGCTTTAAAAAACATACTTATACAGAGATTTTTAAAAAATCATAGATATCTCGTGCATAATTTTTCAAAGACATACAAATAAAAGGTTAAAGTATTTTGAAAACATTCAGGATCCAATTTCTCTTAATTACTTTTGGACTCAGAGTTGCCAAGAAACACATTTTTCCACACAGTAGCATCTTCAGTGCCTTTAAGAACATGGAGATACAGCATTTCTTCAAATTGTCTACTGTCATCTTGGTATTCTTCTCCCCAGCCACCGACACATTACCAGGTTTTGATATGTGTACTCAGGCAATGTCAATGGGTCATGACTGTCACAGTAGAGATTGTAAGATTTATCTGAATTTCAGAGATATAAAATGGGGGGGGATTTGTATCTTAGAATTGAAATTAACTTCGTGTTGAATAACATGTGTACTTTGCCTGTCTTAATATTATAACAATTTCAATGAGGATTTTACTTGGAAGTCTCATTCATCCCAGCCCAAATATAGAGTATACCGGATTCTTTCTCTCTCTTTCTATCTCTCCCTCTCTCTCTCTCTCCCTCCAAACACACACATGCATATGTACACGTATATATTTATTGACCAAATTGGAGTAGATAACAGCTTTGGGATATAAATACAGGCTATTGCCTTAAAAATTTTGTCTATCTACAAGTTTTAAGATTCTCTTTAAGAGCATGTCCACAATGATATTACAGTAGTACATTTTCTGAGCATGTCCACTGTGATATTACAGTAGTACCTTTTCCGTTCCTAAAACTACACCATAGAATTTTATAATATTCTCTTTTCAGTAGAAGAAAAATAATACACAGAAAAGATACACATACTAATTTCAGCCTTTGTATTGATATTTTGTGTGACCCTAAACAAGTTCCCATCTGTAAAATCAGAAGAGTTATCTGAATGATCTCCAAGAACACTTCCAGCCCAAACAGGATTCTTTATTAAATGCTAAATGAGGAGTTAACTTTCATTATAAACCAACTACAGATATACCTCATTTTATAGCATTTTGCTTTATTGCACTTTACAGATACTGTGTTGGTTTTTTGTTTTTATTTTTGTTTTTGTTTCAAATTTAAGGTTTGTGACAACCCTGTGTTCAGCAAGTCTATTGGCATCATTTTTCCAACACCATGTACTTAGTCATGTCTCTGTGTCACATCTTGGTAATTCTTGCAATATTTCAAACTTTTTCATTATTATTATATCTGCTATGGTGATTTGTAATCAGTGATCTTTGATGCTACTATTGTAATTGTTTTGGGGTGCTACAAACCATGACCATAAAAGACAACAAACTTAATCGATAAATGTTGTATGTGTTCTGAAAGCTCCACTGATCAGCCCTTCTCCTTCCTCACCTCAGGCCCCTGTATTCCCTGAGACACAACAATATTAAAATTAGGCCAATTAATAACCCTCCAGTGGTCTCTGAGTGTTCAAATGAAAGGAAGAGTCACATGTCTGTCACATTAGATCAAAAGCTAGAAATTATTAATCTTAGTAAGGAAGGTATCTTGAAAGCTGAGTTAGGAAGAAAGATAGGCTTCTTCCACCAAACAGTCATGTTGTTTATGCAAATGAAAAATTCTTGAAGAAAATAAAAAGTGTTCTGCCAGTAAATACACAAATCATAAGAAAGCAAAACAGCCTTATTGCTGATTTGGAGAAAGTTTTAGTGGTCTGGATAGAAGATCAAACCAGCCACAACATTTCCTTAAGCCAAAGCCTAATCCAGATCAAGGCTCTAACTCTCCTCAATTATTTGAAGGCTGAGAAGGATGAAGAAGGTGCAGAAGAAAAGTTTGAAGTTAGCAGAGGTTGGTTCATATGGTTTAAAGAAAGAAGCTGTCTCCATAACATAAAAAGTGCAAGGTGAAGCAGCAAGTGCTAATATAGAAACTGCAACAGGTTATCCAAAAGATCTAGCTAAGATGACTGATGAAGGTGGCTCACTAAATAACACATTTTCAATGTAGACACATCTTATATTGAAAGAAGATGTCATATAGGACTTTCATAGCTAGAGAGGAGAAGTCAATGCCTGGCTTCAAGGCTTCAAAGGACAGGCTGACTCTCTTGTGAGGAGCTAATGGAGCTGATGACTTTAAGTTGAAGCCAATGCTCACTGACCATTCTGAAAATCCCAAGAATTATAAAAAATATCCTCTGTTTGTGCTCCAGAAATGCAACCACTAAGCCTGGTTGACAGTACATTTGTTTATAGCATGGTTTGCTAAATATTTTAAGCCTACTGTTGAGACCTACTTCTCAGGGAAAAAAAAAATTCTTCAAAAATATTACAGCTCACTGACAATGCACATGGTCACCCAAGAGCTCTGATGGAGATATACAGATGAATGCTGTTTTCATGCCTGCTAACGCTACATCCATTTTGCAACTCATGGATTAACAAGTTATTTCAACTTTCAAGTCTTCTTATTTAAGAAATACATTTTATAAGGCTATAGCTGCCATAGATAATGATTTCTCTGATGGGTCTAGGTAAAGTAAACTGAAAACCTTCTAGAAAATCCTTACGATTTTAGATGCCAATAAGAACATTTGTGTCTGGGCGCAGTGGCTCATGGCTGTAAGCCCAGCTCTTTGGGAGGCTGAGGCAGGTGGATCAACTGAGGTCAAGTGTTCAAGAACAGCCTTGCCAACATGGTCAAACCCCATCTCTACTAAAAAAGATACAAAAAAAAAAATAGCCTGGTGTGGTGGTTTGTGCCTGTAGTCCCAGCTACTCAGGAAGCTGAGGCATGAGAATCCCTTGAACCTGGGAGGTGGAGGTTGCAGTGAGCTGAGATCACACCACTGCGCTCCAGCCTGGGTGACAGAGCAAAACTCCTTGTCAAAAAAAATTTAAGGCCGGGTGCGGTGGCTCATGCCTGTAATCCCAGAACTTTGGGAGGCCGAGGTGGGTGGATCACGAGGTCAGGAGATCAAGACCATCCTGGCTAACATGGTGAAACCCCGTCTCTACTAAAAATACAAAAAATTAGCCAGGCGTGGTGGCAGGCGCCTGTAGTCCCAGCTACTCAGGAGGCTGAGACAGGAGAATGGCGCAACCTGGGAGGCAGAGCTCGCAGTGAGCCGAGATTGCGCCACTGCACTCTGGTCTGGGTGACAAAGCAAGACTCCATCTCAAAAAAAAAAAAAAAATTAAAAAGAAGATTTGTGATTCATGAGAGAAGGTCAAAGTATCAGCATTCACAGGAGTTCAGAATAAGTTAATTCCATTTCTTATGAATAGCTATGAGGGGTTCAAGACTTCAGTGAAGGAAATAACTGCAGACATGCTGGAAATGTCAAGATAACTAGAATTAGAAGTGGAGCCTGAAGATGTGACTGAATTGCTACAATCTCATGATAAAACTTGAATGGATGAGGAGTTGCTTCTTATTGATGAGCAAAGAAAGTAGTTTCTTGAGATAGAATCTACCCCCAGTGAAAATACTGTGAACATTTTTGAAATCACATCAAAGCTACTTTTGATATTCTAACCTTCGTTATTAAAGCAGTGGCAGGGTTTGAGAGGATTGAGTCCAATTTTGAAAAAAGTTCTACTGTGGGTAAAATGCTGTCAAACAGTATCGCATGCTACAGAGAAAGTTTTCATGAAAGGAAGAGTCAATTGATGCAGCAAAGTTTATTGTTGTTTTATTTTAAGAATTGCCACAGCTACTCCAACCTTCAACAATAGCACCCTGATCAGTCAGTAGCCGTGAACATGAAGGCAAACCCTCCACCAGCAAAAAGATGATGACTCTCTGAAGGCTCAGATGGTTGTTAGCATTGTATGCCTGTATGTGTCTGTTATTTCAAATACGGTATCTTATTTAATCTTCAAAGGAACTCTATTTCTATCACTATGTTATACTCCAGAAAACAGATCCTCAAACATTAACCAATTACAACTATTAGCTACTGAGGTGAAAAAGTTGGAATTCCAAGTATGCCTTAATCACTTCAAATCTCAGACCTCACACATGTTATACATGTTGCCCCTTTCAGAGTCTTTAAAATTTTAACTAAGTAGAACACAGACAAAGCTAGGCAGTTGCTAGGATTGTGAAACTACTACATTATGTTACTTGAAATATCAGACTCAAAGAATGCATCTCAATTTAATTCTGAAAGCCTTCCCTGATAACCTACTCTGCCTATGCCAAATGCTGGAGAAATAGAAATAAATTAGATCAATCATTGTCCTTAGAAAGCTTACAGTATAATCAAATATCATTCAAAATATAGTCTTTGTGGTCCTAGAGTTTATTGAACATTATCTAACAGATATTTACTGAGCACAGACTTTGTGCTGGGGACAAAGTATACTTCAGTAAGTAGAATGCAAATATGGTATCTTATTTAATCTGATGGGATTTTAATTTAATCTTTCATGGGCTTTCTAATATGATGGTAAAGAGAGACTGTACACAAGTAAGCAATGAAATACATATATAATTTAAAACTGTGATAAGCTATTATAACTTATCATGTTTAGTGTTAGAAGATGGCATGAGAGACATACTTAGATGATATGGTCAAAAGAAGCCTCTCTGTGGAGGTGACAGTACATTTAATCTGAAGATTGAATATTTAGAAGGAATGAAGTGTGGGGCACAGAAGATCATGCCAAATAGAAGGAAGAGAATGGCTGAAAGCCTCTAGTGGGAAAGACATTATATAGAATTCAAGGAATTGGGCCAGGTGCGGTGGCTCATGCCTGTAATCCCAGCAATCTGGGAGGCCAAGGCGGGCGGATCAGGAGGTCAGGAGATTGAGACCATCCTGGCTAACACGGTGAAACCTCGTCTCTACTAAAAGTACAAAAAATTAGCCGGGCGTGGTGGCAGGCGCCTGTACTCCCAGCTATTGGGAGGCTGAAGCAGGAGAATGGCGTGAACCTGGGAGGCGAAACTTGCAGTGAGGCGAGATCACGCCACTGCACTCCAACCTGGGTGACAGAGCGAGAGTCCATCTCAAAAAAAAAAAAAAAAAATTCAACGAATTGAAAGGAAACATGTAATAGAAGATGAAGTTAGAGAGAGACGCAGGGCTAAAGTCAGATAGGTCTTGAAATCTACATTAGAAGACATTGAAGACTTTTTTGGGGGGAGGAGGCTTACATTTATCCAAATTGATATGCTTTTTAAAAAATACATTGGCTTCTATGGAGATCACACCCTGGGAAATTTCCATCGTTTGAGGTTGGACAGAAGAGAAGAGGCCCACATAAAAATCAGAAAATAAATGGCCAGAGGTAGGAGGAAAATCAAGAGTAGACTGAATTGAATTGTCACTGAAGAATAAGCATATGCATATGCAGAAGTTTGACCAAGAAGAGGAGCAGAGAAATGGGCAGCAGCTGATGGTGGATGGAGTGTTGAGTCACGGGGTCAAGGTTGTTTGCTAATAGTAATGATCCAGGGAGACAGCAGTACCGACAATTCAGAAAAAGTGGGAGATAACTAAGAGTACAGTCCTTGAGCAAGTGAGAGGCAGGGGATCCAGGGGACATGCAAAAGGCCTTTGTTAAGAAGGACACCTTTATCCATGCTAACAGGATTATAGAAAGACATAGGCATGTTTCTAACTTTGGCTGAGGGAATAAGAGGATGCTCCTACCCTCTAAGAATGGTGGTAAGGGAAAAAGAATAATGGTTTTCAATAAATAGAAGAAGGTCTGAACTTTTTTTAGAGAAAAAAATGAGAAACCTACTTACCATGATAGCCCTGTATAATTGTTTCAGTGATAACAGTTGTGTGCAGACTGATATAATGAATGTAAATTGTAATCCTTCTACTTAGATATGTGATTTTCTCATTATTTGGGGCCTGGATAAGGTAGGTGGAAGAATTCATTCTGGGTTTGAGTTTTGCCACATGAGAAAAACATGGCTAGAGGCAAAGGAATTGAAAGTGTTTGTGAGGAAATAATTATAAATGTGGACATTGAAGGGAGGAGAAAACAGGAAGGGGACTGATGGCTATCAAGTAATAAGATCAATGGATTAGATTTCAAATAGTTATTGTAGTGTAAATGCCAATGCAAATTAGTTTGAAAGTTGCACTTGGAGAACACAATATGGACATCTGAGATTGTAGACAGGGTAGAATGTGTGTGTTGATGGGGGAGAGATGAGGTGACGGGAGCTGAAATGGAGTGAGAAAAAAGATAATTGGAGTTTTTTTTATTATTCATTCAGAAAGTACTTATTGATGGCTTATTGTGAGCCAGGCATTGTTCTATTTGCTAAAAACATAGTATTGGGGTTAAAATCTGTGATGTTGGATGATGCATGAATATAGAAGTCAGTAAGAAAAATGAAAGTGGACGGGGAAAGGTGGAATCAGTGAGGCAAAAATGAAAGCTGTTGGTAGGTAAATTAAGATTAGTCAATCTAGTGATTCACCAGAGTTTAAGCCATGGTATTGCTGGCACCTAGAAAATACTATTCACAACAACAATAAAATTAACAATAGTAAAAAATACTCTAATAATGCTTGTTATGTGCCAAGCACTCTACTAAATACTAACATATATTAATTCATTTTACTTGCAAAACTACTCTGTGAGGTGGGCAGTATTACATTATTCTGAGTGGACACTGGGAGGAAGGAAGGACGGAGAAGGTGAGAGATTGGATTAGATTAAGGGATGGCCCCACCCAGGTGGAGAGTAATAGTCAGGTCAAGATAGATGCCAGAGGGATTTTGAGATTCTAGCAGGGACTGAGGGAAATTCAAAGGTCAAGTTTGGTGAGAAGAGCCCTAACAGCCTTCCAGTTGAGGCAGACAGTGCACTCCAGTGCTAGATTCACTGGGTGGGTGATGGCTTCCACAGTAGCTGTTCCCTCAGAGAGCAGAAGGGGTGTAGCTAAGATGACTGGGGAAACCTTCTCCCCAATCCAGGGAAGTAAAAGGTGATGCTACCGAGGAGAGAAGATGAATTCCTATCTGTCCCCAGCTGCTGCTATTACACTTAGAGCAGTTCTGCTTTCAGTTGCTTAAGGTTATAGGGCTTTAGGTAAAGTTTTTTGAAAAAGGAGGTTGTGCTTAAAAGTTATAATAGAATGTTTGAAAAACCCATGTCTAGAGGATCATTTGATCCAACCCCCTCATTTTTCAGGTAGGTAACTGGATGAAGGGCCCAGAGAAGGGGTGGAACTTGCTGAAGGTCACACAGTGAGTTCATGGCAGAACTGAGGGCGTTCTCCTGTCTGCAGTTTAGTGCACTTTGCCATACCTACTGGACCCAGATTTAGGGCCTTAACAAATGCTGTAGGGTGAAGAGTGGAGCAAACCTCTGTCCGGCTGTCACCCCTTCTCTGTCTCTGGCCTATCTCCTGCTGGCAGGTGGCACATGGGGTTTTAAAAAATTCATGTTATGTTAATTATGCCATAACCCCTGTCTCTGCTGACTGTATTCTATTAAGAAATCATTCACTATTTTGTCAATAACACTGAACGTTCTCCCCTGACAGTGCAAAGAGATGAGGCCTCCCAGCATGCTTTGCTCACTCTGATGGCAGTATGAGGCCTTGTACTTCCAGAACCATTACTTGCAGAAAGTAGTTTCTATGATGGCTTGGAGACTCTAGATACAGTTTTGTTCATTTGGTTTGCAATCACCAGAAAAGCTCCTGTGCTCTCATTAAACAGAGATTCCCCCACCTTTCCCTTCTCCTTACCTGCTTTTCTTTTTTCTACTTTATTTTATTCTTGTTTAAACTGTACCAAAACTTCCTATTATTTAAATTCTGGTGTCCCAGAAGGGAAGAATAGGGATTTTCCTGTTTTATTCGCTGGTGTATCCCAGGTATCTAGAATAGTGGCTAACACATAATGGATGGCTAATTAATATTTGTTGAATGAGTGGATACATGAACAAAAGAATTCATAGGTAACAACAGGATGAATATATACGAACATTCTGATATCAGAGAAGTAGCTATGGAATGGCCTGTCTGCCCCAACGTTCTTACAGTGCAGAGGGTTGAAAGTGAAGATCCCTGGTAGCAATCCTGGCTGGACTAAGGATCTGAAGCAGAAAGAGAGATAACTTGCCAAGGTCACTTGTCCAAATAGGCTCTGTAAATTAGATGTCACCTGAAGTGGGTTTTTAGGTTTATTTGTCAAAGATTCAAGTAAAATTAGCACAAAGCCCCCACCCTATGGGTACTGGGAGCTCTATATCCCTTCCAATCTCTCCCAGAGGTTTCTGTGGGTTGGGGTAAATTTTTGTATTCTGAATATTATTGGCTCATAGCTCCCTGTATTAGGTCAGTTTATTGATCATCCCCCTATCCTGCATATGATGTTCTTATTGACCCAGGCAAGGAATTCAACCCTTCTCTTGGATACATGTAAATATTGTCTCTCTCTCTCTCTCTCTCTCTCTCTCTCTCTCTCTCTCTCACACACACACACACACACACATACACATATTCATACATGCCCACAGGCATATATACACACAGACAATTAATCCACTATATGAAGTCTTTATGTGTAGAACAGACTTTCCTGAAGATTTGGGGAGATGGAAGGACTTTATGTTACAGCAATGCAAACAACATTAAACTTTAATTTTAGTCACACCTGCTCTTAAGACATCTTTAACCATTTATATTATTTTGGGCTTCATCTTCTCCATATCCTAATCCTTGTACAGATACTCCTAACTTCTCTGCTTAAAAATGATGTTACATCCCCATAAACCTATTGTAAGTTGAAAATATTACATTGAAAATACATTTAATATATCTAACCTACCAAACATTATAACTTAGCCTTGCCTACCTTAAATGTGCCTACAGTTGGGCAAAATCATCTAACTCAAAGCCTATTTTATACTAAAGTTTTGAATATCTCATGTAATTTATTAAATACAGTACTGAAAGTAAAAATATAGAATGGCTATATGAGTACTAATTATTGAAGTACACAGCTGAAGACCATCAGTTCGATTCATCATAAATTGAAGACTGTCTGTATATATTTTAATTCATTTCTCCCACTTTCCTTTCTTCTCTGCTTGTTCCATCTATAAATTCCTGTTTATTTCTTATGAACTACAGAAACTTCACCTTTTGTTTCTTTGTCAGTTGAACCTCATGATCTTAGGATTTCATTTTCTATCCCCAAGTAGCTTATCATAGTATTTTTCCAAAAAAGGGAAGTTCCCTTTTCAAGAAAAAGTAGTGTTAACCATTACAAGATAATTTTCTACCCCACTTTTGCTAGTAAAGTTGTTCTTGGTTATAAATAAAAGAGAACAACAAAATGAGACAATAATATTGGAAGGATATTAAGGTCTTTCATAGAATTTAAAGGATAGTTGAGGAACAAAGCCTTGGGTAAATCCTTCAGGCACTCCTTGGGGAACCTTAGCAGTAGAAATTCATGGAATGCCTACTCAGATATTAACATGAATATGACTCAGTGTCAACAAAACTAGTCTTGTCTCTCCATTTCCAGTTCTAAATTTCTCAGAGAAGGAATGGGTCCTTGCTTAGGTCAGATATTGACTTATGGTTCAGTGAACTATGCCTAGGGCAGGATCATATTGGACAGACACAGCCATGTGCCTACCTCTGGTCACTAGGCCCATTTCCAAGGAATGCAGAATCACTGGGAATTCAGTAGCCATCCAAGCAGTATCTTCCACACTGCTTCTCTTAGGACAAACATATGATAACACCCTTCACTGAAATTCAAAATGAACATACTCAGAAGTTGGCCCTGGGTCCTGGTATACAAAGACAAATAAAAATGTGTATTATTGAACTCAGTGTTGTTTCTGCTGATGATTGGAGTGACAAGCATATGTGAGGTATGTATGTGTGATTTAAGCAAGGTAAAACCCTTTTGGTAAAGGCAGTATCAAGAGAGAATTAACTAGAAACATTCACTGCCCGTTATGGATATATCTGGAATGTGGTGTAGTTCTCTAGTCTTTCAGAATTGCTTTGAGAACAACCAGCCAGCACTGGGGTCCGTCACCAAAGAAAGAGATATTTTGAATCTACTGTGGTTAGGTAAACTGAACTCCTAGATAAGGCTGTAAAAGATATGTTTTCAAGTTACATTAACCTTGTCTCACTTAAGAAATGATATTAGCTCCTTCTTCCATTTTAAAGGGGTTTTTATGTTCCTTTGTCCTTTCTATAAAAAGAGTTTAGTCAGTACTTCTAATTTTGCCCTTGGAGTTAATCAAGAGATGAAAAAGAATGTAGTAGCAATTGGATTATCATCAAAAAAAGGAACATTTATTGAGAATTTATTGTGTCAGACACTGTGCTAAGAGTTTTCCATACATTTGCACATTTTATCCTCAGATTAATTCTATGAATTAGGTACTCTTATGAGGTAGCTATTCTTATTACTTCATTTTGCAGATAAGGGGACTGAAGCTCAGCGAGATTGAGGAACATTCTCATGTTACACAGCTACTATGTCACACAGCTACTGAGTTACACAGAATGCAGACACAGGTCCCACTTACTCTAAAGCTTGCACTCATTAATATTATGCTTAGATGCTCCCATATTTTTTCCTGAAGAATAATGCAAAGTGGATGGTATTGGGACCAGGATATCAGCATTTCCTTATTCCGGTCCTAACTCTCTCCACTAGCTCACTGTGTAATGTTAGGTACGCTGTCTCTTCTCTCTGTAACACACTTTCCCCAGCTGTAACAGGTGGGGCATGGACAGATCTCTAAGAACCCTTCCAAGTAACAGTTCTATGATCCTACAGGCTCTCAGAGACCTCTTAAATAATCCCTGTGTCCTGTTGTTTCTTGCTGTTCGCAAACATTGTGCTTGAGAGAGCTTCTTGGGTCTGGTTCTTGGGAACATAATTCTACAGTTCCGTTTCACTGCGCCCTCTCTATCCAGGGAAAGTCTGCAAAAGCCATGCCTGTCCTCCCACCTGGCAGCACTTGCTTACATTAAGCCATTCAGTGCTTAGTAGAGAGCTATACTCTTAATGTCAATGCCTAAAATAAATAAATAAATGCATAATGTCTGCTGTGAGTCTGGTATAATGCATTCCACTTAAAATAACAAATGCATATCAGCAAAATATTTAGTACTGGTTTGAAACAGAAGGTTTAGGCTAGAGATTGAAATTCAGATTGCTGTTAGCCCATTTTTCGTGTAAGAAATGTGATATCTCCCAGCTCTAGGAGGATTCTTGTGTGGGAGGAAAGAAGAATTGGTAAACAGGGCAGTCTGTGGTGCCTTTTCTATGCAAATAATAAAATAATCTCAGCCATATTTAGAGGTGAATATTTGGTCACTTCAAAACTATAAAAACTGTTCTCAGACCTATAGTGCCTCCTGGAGCCCGTTCATGCCTAGAGTGATGTATTATAGGAGAGGGCATTTGGAGTTCTGAGCTTTCTTTCCATGGCTTGGATTTGGGCTGAGTGCATGAGAGGCAACAGAACTACACTAGAAAGAGCCCTTGAACTTGGATTCAGACGAATTTAGTAGAATCCCAGATCTGCCAAGGTTAAGCTCTGTAACCTTGGGAAAATTACTTGAATTATCTGATCTCCCCTTCTTCCATGGTAAAATGGAAATAAGTAATCCAAGAAGTTAGTGTCAATATTAAATGAAGGGGAAAGGAGAATAAATATTAAAGCATCTTCTACATCCTCGTGCTTTTGTCCGCTTTTCTAATCTCTGAAAAAAAATAATTGTACCTGCTTCTCTATTTAATGTATGATAATGTTCATTCCTTTTATAAAAATGAAACATATCCTTCCCTCAAGGAGATTCAGTCAACTGTGGGATTCACATACATTACTATAAAATTAAAATGTGACTTAAAATGCCATAATCCAGGTACAGGGTGATATGGAGACACAAAGGAATGAACATTAAATTCTATCATGAGGACTCAGAAATGCCTCCCAGAGGAGGAACCATTTGAGGTTAGCCTTGAAGAATAAGAACTATTTAGCAGGTGAAGAAGGAGGAAGAAGAAGCTTAAGTCAGAGAGGTTGGCGAGATCAGGATGAGCCATGGTTTGGAGGTGTGCTAGTGCATAGCATGTTCCTAACCTGGTAAGGAACCTCCAAATAGGCTGAACATGAGTCGGTGGAATGGCGAGTGCACAGATTAGTTTGGGACCCAATCACTAAGGGATTTGAATGTGAAAATCAGAATGTTTTGTGGAAGTAATAAAGAGTCGACACAATTTTGTTTCACTGGAAAGGGGGGATTATGATGAATATGCATGATACATAGATGAAAGAGATTTTGGGGTCTGGAGATCAGAAGTCAGAAGGATATCAGTCAAACAGAACATGTTTTTCTAGATGACCATTAGCAAGTAGCTTAAAGTCTCTGTATCCAAATTTCCCTAGGTTTTGAAGTGGATTGTGTAGAATCTTCTTAGTAACACAAGTACCAGTTACCTATTCCATAAGGATTTGGAGGGAGCAGCCTAGGGGAAGAGACTTCTGCTAGGAAATGAACAGAGAGATGTGAGATTAGGAGCAGGGAATAGAGAAGTCAGAAGCTTGACTCTTCAAAGGCGAATCCAGCGTGTCATAGAACTTCAGCCTGTGTGACTGTGGGCAGTCTCATGTGCATTTGGGGCTGCAGTTTCCCCTTCTGCACAGTTGTATCAGGTGTTTTTCTTAGGTCTTTGACAGCTTTAACATTCTAAATTTTCACTTTTCAAAACTGTTCTCAAGCCTTTACTTATAGGCGCCCTGTTCATAATCTAATCCTTTAGCCTGGGCTTCAGTCTAACCTTTGACCCTCTGACCTCTCTGGAAATGTTCGCAGGACTGTGCTTGCATCATCTTGAGAGTCCTGGGTTAAGGGACCTGTCTCAGCTTTGCAAAAATATTGCTATAAGCAGGAAGACAAAAATAATAAGCCTCTAACAGTAGACTCTAATCCCAAATTCTCAATCTGGGGTCCCAAAGACAGAAACTATTGGGTAAGCACTAACAGGGGCTGAAAATGCTGAGGGAGATTGGCTTTTACTGTGTGAGCAGGAAGTCTGTACCAGGGAAGTGGTTTATGCATTCTTAAGCTGAGCTATGTAGAAATTTATATCAGACATGAATATGTGAGAACTGCTAACCACAGATGCCTCATAACAGAATAGGAATCTGAATCATGAGTCAGTGGACAGGACCCTAGGCCTAGAATGGGCCTCAGAAAAATCTCTCTTTGTCCTTCAGCATCTTAGTGGTGGGTTTGTGGCTGGCATGAGATTGAAGTGAGAACAAGTGATAGTGGAACCAGGAAATGGCCTTGGAGTCAAGAGACCCAAGTTCAAACACCAATGCAAATGTATATGCTATATATGGCTTGTCACAACTCAGTTAACCTTTCTAAGCCTAGATTTTCAATGGATATTATACTGCTATCTACTTCACAGGGGTGTTATGAGGCTGACTTTTCAAAATGGATTCATTTATTTATTCATTAGACTGATTCAACAGATACTAAGATCCTATTATGTGTCAATAACTATACTCACATTAGAGATACATGAAGTCTAACACTGTAAAATTGTAACATCAAATCTTATGTTAATATTTTATAATAGTGAGTCCAGAAATTTTACTCATAGGACACAGACAAAATATGGTATTTTCCTCTCTGTAAAACAGCTCTGGTCTTCCTCAGGAGTCCCCACGTGCTGGGAAGCTTGAAAATAAATAACAATAACAAAACTTTTATTTCAAACCAGTAAACTTGGTCCTGTGCCATAACTAAACCACCCCTTTATACTGATATATTGCTCTTTAGGTAAAATTGCCTGATCTCTCGGATTTTTACTTCCCCTCCCTGCCTCCTCCTCCACTCTAAAATAGTGTCTGATAGTACTGACCTTGTGAGAAGAAGGCGGCCATGGGAATTTTGGATCCACAAGATAGTCTCTGGATTCTCTTTGATCTTAGCTATGGAATGGCTGATCTGGGTTGTTCCTCAGATAGGAGACCAATGAGGTGTCCAAGCTCTGTGTTTGGCCGTCTAAGGGTATCTGCTGCTAAAACCTACTGCTGGTGCTGTGTCTCCCTTCTCTGTCTCTCTCTCTCTCTCTCTATCTCTCTCCCTCTCTCAGTTGATCATGGCCTAGAAGTCCTTTCTGGTGTCATATTTTCTCTTGTCTATGATCTATATCAGATAGTCTCTCCTTTGACATGAGGACTTCTCACTAGTAAGCTCCCAGCCAGATTCTCAGCTAACTTCTGTGTCCTCTCACGGGGGAACATAGTACTTCCTAATTTTTGTTCATATCCCACAGGAATCAATTTGCTATGGGGCAGCCTAGAGGCAGTCTGTTTTATAACCCCTAGATTGAAAATGGAACAGAACACCCTCTGAACTCTATTTGTCTCATACTTTTCTGGATGTTTTTAAAATATCACACCTCAAACACAGACACAAATCAATACACACACACTTATGCATGTGCCACCCACCCACACCCCTACTAAATTTCACACTGTCAAAGAGTAAGGATTTAAACACAGATCCCTCTGACTCCAGAATTCATGCTGTTAGTCATTATTCTGTATAGAGTATTCTTATTTAGAACCATGTATTAGGTTCACATATATAGATGTTTAGAACTAAAACATTCTTTAGGCCAGGCATGGTAGCTCATGCCTGTAATCCCAGCACTTTGGGAGGCCAATCAGGCGGATCACTTGAGGTCAGGAGTTCCAGACCAGCCTAGCCAACATGGCGAAACCTTGCCTCTATTAAAAATACAAAAAATTAGCTGGGGATGCTGCCACGCACCTGTAATTCAGCTCCTCAGGAGGCTGAGACACAAGAATAGATTGAACCTGGGAGGCGGAGGTTGCAGTGAGCCAAGATCATACCACTGCACTGCAGCCTGGGTGATGGAGTGAAACTCTGTCTCAATTAAAAAAAAAAAAAGAATAAAAAGTTCCTTAGAAGTCATTCATTTCACTCTTCATTTGAAACATGAGAAAAAACTGAGACCCGTAGATGGATGATTCACACAAGGTCACAGAACCTGTAGGTCTGAGTCTTCTTTCAGCTGGGACTTGAGTGTCTCATACACATAAGAAACTCTGCCCTGGAACCCAGGCTCATTGAGTTGTCCTTTCCTCCTAGACATTAATTTGGACTTGAATGTCCGCCCTACCATTTACTGATTAAATCACCTTACTGAAGTCTTATAAGCCTCAGCATCCTTATCTGCAGCATGGTGAAATATAGCATCTTAACTTGGAGTTACTAGAAAGAAAGGAGATAAATTATGTAAAATGCCTAGCACAGAGTAGGAACGTAATATAATAATAGTAGTTTTCTTCTTTCCCAATTCCTTGGTGTTACTTCCTGGAGCCCTCTTAGCTGCTGGTTTTAAAACTGTTTCTGCTATGTTAGTTGAGCCCTGCCTGACCCTGTGAACATTGCCCGACTCCCTAGACTCAGGCATTGCCAACTTGGACTTACAATCTCTGGCCTAGGCATGCAGCCTTCAGGATCCTTGCTGCCTGACTTGACTTCTACCCCGACATATGTTCACCTGTTCCTCTCCACTAGCTATCCAGTCTTACCAGAACTTCATGCCTCTTATGCATTGCCAGTCCGGATTTGGTGATCTTGAGATCTGTGGTGGACACAATGATGCACCATCCAGATTCTCCTTTGAAGACGACATATTGCCCCAGTTCCTGGGAGTGTACTCGGCAGACAGCCTTCAGCTGTAAGCCTCTTCAGGGATTGCTTCATATACGGAGAGGTACACAGCCAATGTTGTGTTCCTTCCTAAGGACTCTACATCCAACGGCTGATTCATATAGGAAGGAGTATAAAGGCCTGGTTATCTCGGCCCAACTTAGGACAGCTCTGAAAAGCCATTCTAGCTCCAGAGCTCCCTAAGGGTGTAACAAGGGTACCCTTAGTTTTGCATCACAGTTTACTTTTTCCTTCATCAACTCCTACTTCTTTCTCCTCCTTCAGCAGGTTTGAACCCAGGAGTGTTCCTTAAACATCCTGAGTGCTAATTTCCTCTTCAGTTTTTGCTTCATGGAGAATCTGACCTGCTGCAAGCTCCCTCAAGTTGTACCCAGTTCCTAACACTGTTAGTACTGACCTTGACTGACAGACCCTGGACTGTTCCTGCCCACACCCTAGAATGAGAGAGAGAGAAAAAGAGAATGAATGCTTGTGTGCATATATTAAAGAGACAGACAGAAATTTGCTGTTCTGTTATAGAAGAAGCCAAAGCCCCAGGGCCTTCTCATGACTTTCTGCTCCTGGGTTGTCTTTTAGTGAAGTCAGTTTTCAGTTTGACTTTCATCTCTAACAGCCTCTCTTCTTCTTGCCTGTGTCTTACTCTGACAAGTCCTAGACCCTAGGGATATAGAATCAAATCAGACCCACTTTTGCTCTGAAGGTATCACAGTCTAGGGTGACAGGCAGTCATTACACAAATAAATTATAGTATGGACTGATAAGTACAAAAAAGAAGTAGTTCATGGCCCAAAGTACTTGGATTATAATGTTTCCATGGCAAAGTTATTCTGGTAATTAAATGAAACAGTGAAACCACATAGCACAATGCTTAGCACAGAGGAAGCAATTGTTGAATCAAATGATCTTGTTTTGCAGCTTAGGAGATTGAGGTGCTGATACATTGAGTTGCTTATATAAGGTCCTATTGGTAGTTAGTGACAGAGCTGGAATGAGAACCCAATCTCCAGATTTACACTTCATGACTTTTTACAATTATGCACTTTGCCTCAAGAGGTTATAATGTGTGTGTGTCCCATATGCTAATATTATTTTCAGACCTGAACTTTTGGTAAACTGAGGGCCTCCCTCACAGTTTGGACATACCATATACCTGGTTTCAGGCTCTGCTTTGCAAGTTCCTTTGCTTTTTGTTGAAATGAGCCCAGCAGCTAAGCAGTATTTCTAGTCCCACATTTCATTCTTACTTCAAGCTTAGTGGGATAGTGGAGAAGCATCAGACCGAAGCAGTGACATTTATATGAAAAGAACCATTGTGTCCTTTGTAAGGAATAGCACATAGCTCTAAGTCATACTGCTTTCCCATTCGCCTTCCTCTGGGAGGCTCTAGCAAGAGCTTGGCCCGTGGGAGGGAGCTGCCTTGAGACCTCGTGCCGGAAATTATATTCCATAATTAAAATCAATAGCAAAACAGACACACAGCAGAAAGGCCATAGAACACAACAGAAAACCATTGGATTGCATATTGCCATGTATCAAAATAGGTTTTTAAACTTTTATTTGATCTGTGAATGCCTAAAATCACATGTGGGAGAAAGGCAGTGTGCGCCAAGCTCCAGCCTCACCTGTGAAGGGTTTAGCTAAAGAGAAGGCTTCCTGCTGAAATTCTTAATAGTCCAGATTTTCTAGTCCAGTGGTGCCCCTTTAAACTCTCTGACCACCCTCATGTCATTAGGCCAGTGCCAGGTTGCAGTGAACTCCTAGCCCTGGAGAGCTCTTCACATTCTGTGTCCTGAAACCTTTACCTGAACCTACTCAGTGCTATATTTCTTACACACCTCTTAGAATCCCTGCTTCCTGACCTATTGCTATGGCTGCACCACACTTTTGCCCTTTAGAGATGATGGATGTTACTCTTCCGGCATTTTCCTATCCTCAGATCACATCTCTTCTCATATCTCAGGCTGTTCCAGCCCTGTCCTAAACCAGATCAGGCTCTGGGACTTTTCTCAGTGCTATATTGGGTCTTCTATGTCCAGTTTGATCAGACAGCAAGGGCTGGGACATAACTACATCTCCTCCACTCTATATGCATTCCTAAGTGAAATCGTCCTCCCTTTTTCAGATACAACACATGTACTCCAATTTTCTTTACAGGCCAGGCACAGAGTGGAGCTGGGAGTTTTTACATATCATGTTTATTTCTTACAGATTGTGGTTAATCCTATAGCTTTTCATTTTACAGATGATCTTAGAGTGAAGTGATTTGTTATACCACAGTAAGTCAGTAAGTAACAGAGCCACAGTTCAAGCCTACATCTCTTGCCTCCCAGATCCATGGTCATTCCACTGCAACAAAGCTACCTCTCTCTTGAAGAAGGAATGTCATAACTCCATTACATCACATAAGCTGAATTTTTCAACTAGGTAGTATATTATGTCTGTAGAATCAGGTGGTCCATAATAGGACTGTGCCTAAGTAACAGAATGAAAGACTTTTACCTCATTAAATAATTGCCTAGAGGCTGGCACAGTGGCTCATGCCTGTAATCCCAGCACTTAGGGAGGCCATGGTGGGCAGATTACTTGAGGCCAAGAGCTTCAGACCAGCCTGGCCAACATGGCGAAACCTCGTCTCTACTTAAAACACAAAAATTAGCCAGATGTGGTGGTGCACGCCTGTAATCCCAGCTACTCCGGAGGCTGAGGCACAAGAATAGCTTCAACCTCGGAGGTAGAGGTGAAGCGAGCTGAGATCGTGCCACTGCACTCTGGCCTGGGCAGCAGAGCAAGATTCTTGTCTCACAAAAATAAAAAATTGTCTAGAGCCAAAGTCTTTCTAGTCTTTTCCCCAGTGGTCCTATGGCCTTCATGGGTAACCTCCAGAGAGTCCAGGTGCATCAGTGAATCAGAACACTGGTTTTTTTAAATTAAGTATATTAGACAAACATAAAAGTACACATATAATAAGTGTACAGCCTGATAAATTTTCATGATCTGAACACATCAGTGTAACCAGCACCCAGATTGAGAAACAATGTCACCATTATCTCAGAAGCCCTCTTTTTACTCCCCTTCCACTAAGACTATCCTGACTTAATCCCACAATTATTTTATCCATTATATTGTTGGTGGAATTTTGGAACTCTCTAATTTTGTGTATTATAAATAGTGTTGTAGGAATATTATTCTATGTCTTTTGGTACGCATATGTATGCAGTTCTGTTGGGTATACAGGAGTAGAATTAGTCATCAAGTATGTATATTGTATGAGTTTCTTATTGCTGCTATTCAAACTTAGTGGCATACAACAACACAATTTTATTCTCTTACAATTCTGAAGCTAAGAAGTTTACTATGAGACTTATGAGGCTAAAGTCAAATTGTTGGCAGGGCTAGTTCCTTCTCCAGGGGAGAGTCTTTTTTCTTTTCATTTCCAGCTACATTAGCCTTACATTCTTTGGCTCATGTCCCCTTCCTTCATCTTCAGAGCCAGCAACTTAGCATTTTCAAATCTCTCTCCACTTCTGTCTTTGCATTGCCTTCACTGTTTTTTTTTTATTATTATACTTTAAGTTTTAGGGTAGATGTGCATAATGTGCAGGTTTGTTACATATGTATACATGTGCCATGTTGGTGTGCTGCACCCATTACCTCGTCATTTAACATTAGATATATCTCCCAATGCTATCCCTCCCCCCTCCCCCCACCCCATAACAGGCCCCAGTGTGTGATGTTCCCCTTCCTGTGTCCATGTGTTCTCATTGTTCAGTTCCCACCTATGAGTGAGAGTATGCAGTATTTGGTTTTTTGTCCTTGCGATAGTTTGCTGAGAATGATGGTTTCCAGCTTCATCCATGTCCCTACAAAGGACATGAACTCATCATTTTTTATGGCTGCATAGTATTCCATGGTGTATATGTGCCACATTTTCTTAATCCAGTCTATCATTGTTGGACATTTGGGTTGGTTCCAAGTCTTTGCTGTTGTGAATAGTGCCGCAATAAACATACGTGTGCATGTGTCTTTATAGCAGCATGATTTATAATCCTTTGGGTATATACCCAGTAAAGGGATGGCTGGGTCAAATGGTATTTCTAGTTCTAGATCCCTGAGGAATCGCCACACTGACTTCCACAATGGTTGAACTAGTTTACAGTCCCACCAACAGTGTAAAAGTGTTCCTATTTCTCCACATCTTCTCCAGCACCTGTTGTTTCCTGACTTTTTAATGATCGCCATTCTAACTGGTGTGAGATGGTATCTCATTGTGGTTTTGATTTGCATTTCTCTGATGGCCAGTGATGATGAGCATTTTTTCATGTGTCTGTTGGCTGCATAAATGTCTTCTTTTGAGAAGTGTCTGTTCATATCCTTTGCCCACTTTTTGATGGGGTTGTTTGTTTTTTTTTGTAAATTTGTTTGATTTCATTGTAGATTCTGGATATTAGCCCTTTGTCGGATGAGTAGATTGCAAAAATTTTCTCCCATTTTGTAGGTTGCCTGTTCACTCTGATGGTAGTTTCTTTTGCTGTGCAGAAGCTCTTTAGTTTAATTAGATCCCATTTGTCAATTTTGGCTTTTGTTGCCATTGCTTTTGGTGTTTTAGACATGAAGTCCTTGCCCATGCCTATGTCCTGAATGGTATTGCCTAGGTTTTCTTCTAGGGTTTTTATGGTTTTAGGTCTAATGTTTAAGTCTTTAATCCATCTTGAATTGATTTTTGTATAAGGTGTAAGGAAGGGATCCAGTTTCAGCTTTCTACATATGGCTAGCCAGTTTTCCCAGCACCATTTATTAAATAGGGAATCCTTTCCCCATTTCTTGTTTTTGTCAGGTTTGTCAAAGATCCGATAGTTGTAGATATGTTGCATTATTTCTGAAGGCTCTGTTCTGTTCCATTGGTCTATATCTATCTCTGTTTTGGTACCAGTACCATGCTGTTTTGGTTACTGTAGCCTTGTAGTATAGTTTGAAGTCACGTAGCGTGATGCCTCCAGCTTTGTTCTTTTGGCTTAGGATTAACTTGGCAATGTGGGCTCGTTTTTGGTTCCATATGAACTTTAAAGTAGTTTTTTCAAATTTTGTGAAGAAAGTCATTGGTAGCTTGATGGGGATGGCATTGAATCTGTAAATTACCTTGAGCAGTATGGTCATTTGCATAATATTGATTCTTCCTACCCATGAGCATGGAATGTTCTTCCATTTGTTTGTATCCTCTTTTATTTCCTTGAGCAGTGGTTTGTAGTTCTCCTTAAAGAGGTCCTTCACATCCCTTGTAAGTTGGATTCCTAGATATTTTATTCTCTTTGAAGCAATTGTGAATGGGAGTTTGCTCATGATTTGGCTCTCTGTTTGTCTGTTATTGGTGTATAAGAATGCTTGTGATTTTTGCACATTGATTTTGTATCCTGAGACTTTGCTGAAGTTGCTTATCAGCTTAAGGAGATTTTGGGCTGAGATGATGGGGTTTTCTAGATATACAATCATGTCATCTGCAGACAGGGACAATTTGACTTCCTCTTTTCCTAACTGAATACCCTTTATTTCCTTCTGCCTGATTGCCCTGGCCAGAACTTCCAACACTATGTTGAATAGGAGTGGTAAGAGAGGTCATCCCTGTCTTGTGCCAGTTTTCAAAGAGAATGCTTCCAGTTTTTGCCCATTCAGTATGATATTGGCCGTGGGTTTGTCATAAATAGCTCTTATTATTTTGAGATACAGCCCATCAATACCTAATTTATTGAGAGTTTTAAGAATTTTAGACCAATATCCCTGATGAACATCGATGCAAAAATCCTCAATAAAATACTGGCAAACTGAATCCAGCAGCACATCAAAAAGCTTATCCACCATGATCAAGTGGGCTTCATCCCTGGGATGCAAGGCTAGTTCAACATCTGCAAATCAATAAACATAATCCAGCATATAAACAGAACCAACGACAAAAACCACATGATTACCTCAATAGATGCAGAAAAGGCCTTTAACAAAATGCATTGTGTTCACTCTTAAAAGAACCCTTGTGATTAAATGAGATCCATCCAGATAATCCCAGATAATATCCCCATCTCAAAATCCTGAATTTAATCACATCTGCAAAATGCCTTTTGCCATATAAGGTAAAATTCCCAGGTTCTAGGGATTAGAACGTGGACATCTTTGGTGGGGGTAGGGGAGTGGGGGGTAGTATTCAACCTACTGCCCATATGTTTTATTTTATAAATAGTGCCAGTACTACCAATTGACACTTCTGCCAGCACTGTATGAGAATCCTAGTTGCTCTGCATCTGTATCAACTCTTGGCCTATTCCATCCTTTTCATTTTAGCCAGAGCTCTAGTTTTCTGTCTATCTCACAAAACTATGCGAAAAGTCACACTTTCTGTATCCACAGCTATACACAAGCCCCTTCTTTCTTTAAACACAATATTTCCTCCCCATTGCTATTTCTGTTAAAGAAGAAAGTTTTAAAGATGAACTCTATCCTATGATGAAATGAGCTACCTTATGAAGTGGTAAGCTTTTGTCACTAAATGTATTCAAGCAGAGTCTAGATAGACATTTTTAGGAAAGCTGTAGAGGCAAATTGTATATTGAATAGAGATGCTTTCTTATAACAAGCCAAAGATTTGAAGTTAAAGAACCTAGGTTTTGGTTTTGGCTCTCTAGTTATTATACAACCATGAACAAGTTATTTCATTTCTGTGAATTTGCTTTTTTTATGTTGGAGATATTACATTACTTTCATTTGCTGTAACAGTCAAATACTACCTTCTCCAAGTCATCTAGTCACAGAATCACACAATGTGAACATAATTTTTAGCATAGTTACCTATACTTTTATTTATAGTACTGCTTACACTGTACTGTAATGACATTTATTTACTGTCTTATGCATGAATCTTCAAATTCTTTAAAGGCAGGTATTTTGTGTGATGTGCTTACTACTATATTTTCAGTGCTTAGCCAAGTAAATTGTACATGGTAGGTCTACAATGAATTAATAAATCTTATTTCCATTATATGACTGGTGTGAGAATCTAGTAAGATATTGGCTATAAAAGAATTTTTAAAATTTCAAAACACTTTCAAGATGCGTTGTGTTGTTTTCTCATTATTATCTTGTCAGTCCAGGCAGTAAGTCTCTGGGTCAGTTACTGAAGCAGACTAGAGCCCCCTCATCAGCAAAAGATGCTGGGAGGGGACTGACATCTGTCCCATTTGAATTTCTCTTTGAGGAACATGGTATGCTCTCTACAGGACACTATTTCTGCTTCTCTGAAGAGCAGCCCTAATTATTGGTGATAATTAGTTGCAATCTAAGGACCTCAGGGCAATTTGGGGAGGTGCAAATTCCATCTAGGCTCTCCAGGATTTTATGTCTTTTCCCTTGATGTCTCATCCAGTTTCTCTTCTTGTGAAATAAAAGAAGGAAAATGCAACTGAATAGAACCAAAACCTAAAGGTCATCTTCACAAAAGGCCTCCTTTACCACTGTCCTCTGAAGAGTAAATTTCAAGTGCCATTCAAGTAACTGCAAGCAGTTGGGCCTGGCAGAACAGTGTTCAGAAAAGGAGAAAGCCATTCACTCTTTCATTCCTTCAACAAATATTTGAAAATTTTCTCTGTACCAAGCTCTATGCTGAGAGCTAAGATGCAGAGGTGAGCTGATGTGGACCCCATGCCACTGAGTTGCTCACAGTCTGCTGAGAAGGGCAGGTATGAAACAGAAAATTCCAAGATAGTCTGATAATGATGGTAGAAGGAGAAACAAGAACAAAATTGATAATTACAACCATCATTTGTTGCACAGGTACTAGTCTAGATGCTTTACATAGGTTTAATCTCTACAATAACCATAAAATATGATTCTTTTTTGTCAGATTCAGAAAATGAGCCTCAAGGAATAAATTGAAAAGGTAGAAGCAAGTTTGTTGAGGTTATTGAAGTAGGGGGAACAATAAGATGCTCCAAGTGTAGGACAAACAGAACGTTTGGATAAAGAGATGGCTCTGTTATTGGCTAAGGAATTTAGCTCAGCAAACATTTTCTGGACTTGCCTTGTAAGTCTTTCTCTCTTCTCTTCCTGAGTTTACACACTCTAAAACATTATCCTTTATCTTAAGATTTTGAATTCTCTTTGTAGTAGTCAGAGTTCTCCAGAGAAACAGACCAATAGGATGCATAGATGTTTATTCATTTGTTTGTTTTGTTTTAACTTTTATTATAGTTGCAGGGGTACATGTGCAGGTTTGTTACATAGGTAAATTGCGTGTTGTGGGGGTTTGGTGTACAGATTATTTCATTACCCAGGTACCAGTACCAGATAGGTAGTTTCTCTATCCTCTCCCTTCTCCCACCCTCCACCCTCAAGTAGGCCCCAGTGTCTGTTCTCATCTTTGTGTCCATATGTACTCAATGTTTAGCTCCCACTTATAAATGAGGACATGTGGTGTTTGGTTTTCTGTTCCTATGTTATTTCTTCATACTTCGATAATGGCCTCCAGCTCCATCCATGTTGCTGCAAAGGACATCATTTTGTTCATTTTTATGACTGTGTGGTATTCCATGATGTGTATGTACCACATTTTCTTTATCCACTCTACTATTGATGGGCATTTAGGTTGATTCCATGTCTTTGCCATTGTGAATAGCGCTGAGATAAACATATGCGTGCATGTGTTTTTATGGTAGAATGACTTATATTCCTTTGGGTGTATACCCAATTATGGGATTTCTGGGTTGAATTAAAATTCTGTTTTAAGTTCTTTGGGAAATCACCATACTGCTTTCCACAGTAGTTGAACTATTTCCATTTCCACCAGCAGTGTATAAGGATTTCCCTTTCTCTGCAACCTTGCCAAATTTGTTATTTTTTGACTTTTTAATAATAACTGGTGTGAGATGATATCTTATTGTGATTTTTATTTGCCTTTCTCTAATGATTAGTGATGTTCAGCATTTTTTGTATGCTTCTTCATGTCCTTTGCCCAATTTTTCAATATGGTTGTTTTTTGTTTGTTAATATGTTTAAGCTCCTTATAGACTCTGGATGTCAGATCTTTGTTGGATGCATAGTTTGCAAATATTTCCTCCCATTCTATAGGTTGTCTGGTTGCTTTGTTGAGTTTTCTTTGCTATGCAGAACCTCTTTAATTTGTTCCCATTTGTCAATTTTTGTTTTTGTCATAATTGCTTTTGGCATTTTTGTCATGAAATCTTTTCCAGGGCCTAGGTCCAGAATGATATTTCCTAGGTTGTCTTCTAGAATTTTTATAGTTTAAGTTTTACATTGAAGTTTTTAATCCATCTTGAGTTTATTTTTGTATATGGTGTAAGGAAGAGGTCCAGCTTCAATCTTCTGCATATGGCTAGTCAGTAATCCCAGCACCACTAACTGAATGGGGGTCCTTTTCCCGTTGTTTGCTTTTGTAAACTTTGTCAAACATCAGATGGTTGTGAGTGTGCAGCTTTATTTCTGGGCTCTCTATTCTGTTCCATTGGTCTATGTGTATATTTTTATACCAGTACCATGCTGTTTTGCTTACTTTGGCCTTGTAATATAGTTTGAAGTCAGGTAACGTGATGCCTCCAGCTTTGTTCCTTTTGCTTAGGATTGCCTTGGCTATTTGAGCTCTTTTTTGACTCTACATGAATTTTAAAATAGTTTTTTTCTAATTCTGCAAAGAGTGTCATTGGTAGTTTGATAGGAATAGCATCGAATCTATATATTGCTTTGGGCAGTATGGTCACTTTAACAATATTGAATCTTCCTATCCATGAGCATGGAATATTTATCTATTTGTTTGCATCATCTCTGATTTCTTTGAGCAGTGTTTTGTAATTCTCATTGCAGAGGTCTTTCATCTCCTGGGTTAGCTATATTCCTAGGTATTTTATTCTTTTGTGGCTATTGTGAATGGGATTGCATTCTTGATTTGGTTCTCAGCTTGGACATTGTTGGTGTACAGAAATGCTACTGATTATTGTACATTGATTTTGCATCCCGAAACTTTGCTAAAGTTGTTTGTCAGATCTAGGAGCTTTTGGAAAGAGATTATGGGGTTTTCTAGGTATAGAATTATATAGTCTGCAAACGGGGATAGTCTGACTTCCTCTCTTTCTATTTGGATGCCTTTTATTTTGTTCTCTTGCCTGATTGCTCTGGCTAGGACTTCTAGTATTATATCGAATAGGAGTGGTGAGAGTGAGCATTCTTATCTTGTTCCAGTTCTCAAAGAGAATGCTTCCAGCTTTTACCCATTCAGTATGTTGGCTGTAGGTTTGTCATAGATGGATGTCATTATTTTGAGGTATGTTCCTTCAGTGCCTATTTTGTTGAGGATTTTTAACATGAAGCCATGCTGATTTTTATCAAAAGCTTTTTCTGCATCTATTGAGACGATGTAGTTTTTGACTCCTGTTCACATGGTGAATCATATTAATTGATTTGCAATGTTGAACCAACCTTGCATCCTAGGGATAAAGCCTGCTTGATCATGGCATATTAGCTTTTTGATGTGCTGCTGGTCTTGGTTTGCTAGTATTTTGCTGAGGATTTTTGCATCAGTGTTCATCAAGGATACTGGCCTGAAGTTTTATTTTGTGTGTGTGTGTCTCTGCCAAGTTTTGGTGGCCAGGATGATGCTGGCCTCATAGAATGAGTTAGATAGGAGTCCTTCCTCCCCAATTTTTTGGAATAGTTTCAGTAGGAATTGTACCAGTTTTTCTTTATACATCTGGTAGAATTTGGCTGTGCTTCCATCTGGTCCTAGGCTTTTTCTGGTTGGTAGACTTTTTATTACTGATTCAATTTCAGAACTTATTATTGTTCTGTTCAGAGATTCAGCTTCTTCCTTGTTCAGTCTTGTATAGACATTTCAAGAAATGTAATCATTTATTGCAGATGTTCTAGCTTGTGTGCACAGAGGAGTTCATAGTAGTTTCTGAGGTTTTTTGTATTTCTGTAAGGTCAGTGGTAATGTTTCCTTTGTCATTTCTGATTGAATTTAGTTGGATATCTTTTTTCTTTATTAGTCTAGCTAGCAGTCTATCAATCTTATTTCTTCTTTCAACATACCAACTCCTGTATCCATTGATCTTTTGAATGTTTTTTTTTCCCATCTCAATTTCTTTCAGTTCAGCTCTGAATTTGGTGATTTCTTGTCTTCTGCTTGCTTCAGGTTTGGTTTTCTCTTGTTTCTTTAGTTCCTCTAGAGGTGATATTAGGTGGTTAACTTGAGATCTTTCTAACTTTTTGATGTGGGCATTTGGTGCTATAAACTTCTCTCTTAACACTGTTTTAGCTGTGTCCCAGAGATTCTGAGATGTTGTGTCTTAGCACTCATTAGTTTCCAAGAATTTCTTGATTTCTGTCTTAGTTTCATTGTTTACCCAAAAGTCAATCAAGAGCAGGTTGTTTAATTTTTATGTAATTGTATGGTTTTGAGAAACTTTTTTAGTATTGATTTCTATTTTTATTGTGCTGATATTCGAGACTGTGTTTGGTATGATTTTGATTTTTTTTAATTTGCTGAGGATTATTTTATGCCAAATTGTGAGGTCAATTTTAGAATATGTGCCATGAGATATGTGAGAAGAATGTGTATTCTGTTGTTTTGGTTGGAAAGTTCTGTAGGTGTCTGTTAGGCCCATTTAGTCAAATGTTCAGTTCAGGTCCTGAATATCTTTGTTCATTTTCTGCCTTGATGATCTGTCTAATACTGTCAATGGGATGTTGACATCTCCTACTATTATTGTATGATTAGCTAAGTCTCTTTGTAGGTCTCTAAGAACTTGCTTTATGAATCAGGGTACTCCTGTGTTGGGTGTACATATTTTTAGTATAGCTAGAACTTCTTGTTGAATTCAATTTTTTACCACTATGTAATGCCCTTCTTTGTCTTTTTTACTCATTGTTGGTTTAAAATCCTTTCTTTTTTGGCCCAAAATTAGAATAGCACCTCCTGCTTTTTTCTGTTTTCTGTTTGCTTGATAGATTTTCCTTCATCCTTTTACTTTTAGGCTATGGGTGTTATTGCATATGAGATAGGTTTTTTGTTTTGTTTTGCTTTTAAGACAGCATACGGTTGGGCATTCGTTATGCAACTCGCAACTCTGTGCCTTTTAATTGAGGTATTTAGCTCATTTACATTCAAGGTTAATATTGATATGTGCAGGTTTTATCCTGTCATCATATTGTTAGCTAGTTATTGTGAATACTTGATTGTGTGGTTGCTTTATAGTGTCAATACTCTATATACTTAAGTGTGTTTTTGTGGTGGCCAGGAACAATCTTTCCTTTCCATATTTAGCACTCCCTTAAGGACCTCTTGTAAGGCAAATTGGATGGTAATCAATTGTGTTACTATTTGCCTATCAGAAAAAGACCTTATTTTTCCATTATGAAGCTGAGTTTGGCTGGATATAAAACTCTTAAGTAGAATTTATTTTCTTTAAGAATGTTGAATAGAGACCCTCAGTCTCTTCTGGCTTGTATGGTTTTTGCCGAAAGGTCCTCTGTTAGCCTGGTGAGGTTCCCTTTCTAGGTGACCTGCCCCTTCTCTCTAGCTGCCTTTAACATTTCTTCTTTCATTGTGACCTTGTAGAATCTGATGACTATGTGTCTTGGGGATGGTCATCTTGTATAGTATATCACAAGGGTTTTCTGTATTTCCTGGATTTGAATGTTGGCCTGCCTAGTGAGGTTAGGGAAATTTTTGTGAGTGATATCCTCAAATATGTTTTCCAAGTTACTTGATTTTTCTCCCTCTCTTTTGGATATGTCAGTGAGTTAAAGATTTGTCTCTTTATGTAATCATATATTTCTAAGATGTTTTGTTCATTCTTCTTTATTGATTTTTCTCAATTTTGTCTGACTGAGTTATTTTGGAGAGCCAGTCTTTGAGCTCTAAGATTCTTTCCTCAGCATGGTCATTTCTGCTAGTACATGCAATTGTATTATGAAATTCTGAAGTGAGTTTTTCAGCTTTATGAGTTCACTTTAGTTCTTTCTTAAAATGACCATTTCATCTTTTATCTATTATGTCATTTTATTGTAGTCCTTAGATATTTTGGATTGGGTTTCAACTTTCTCTTTAATGTTGATGATCTTCATTCCTATCCATATTCTGAATTCTATTTCTGACATTTCAACCATTTCAGCCTCGTTAAGAACCATTGCTGGAGAACTAGTGCAGTTGTTGGGAGGTAAGAAGACACTCTGGCTCTTTGACTTGTCAGAGCTCTTGCACTAGTTCTTTCTCATCTGTGTGGGCTGATGTTCCCTCAGTATTTGAAGTTGCTGTTCTTTGGGTGTGTTTTTTTGTTGGTGGTGGTGGGTGGGTTTTTGGCTTTTTTTTTTTCTTTTACCTTCTCTTATGCCCTTGGTGATTTGGTAATTTGATTGTGGTATAAGGTGGGGTTCAGTTGATTGGCCTTAATTCTAGACCACTCCTGAGCCTTGAAGGAGATTCCACTAATTACTGTCTTCATGCTTGCATTTCTTTGTTTGGGTGCTCTGGTCCATGGGGCTCCCTCAGGCAGGGGCTACAGTTGGCAGGCAGGCTGCATCTTTGCTGGGTCAGCCCTAATCTGCTGTCTGAGTTCTTCCTGGGGGAATACGGGGATGTGCCTTCCCACAGAGTTCAGGCAGAGGCAGGACCACTGGGCTGGAAGCTCTAGCAGGTGTGGCCCATCTGGCTACAAGAGGCAAGGGTGAGTGGAGTTGCCCACTCTGCTGTCTAGGTGTTTCTGCAGCAATGGGAGCCTGCGCCCCTTGGCAAATTCAAGCAGAAGTAGGACTGCTTGGGTGGAAGCTCTAGCAGATGTAGCTTGCCTGGATACCAGTGGCAGGATGGGTGGGGTTGTCTGCTCTGTTGTCCAGTTGTTTCCTAGGACAACGGGAGGCTGTAAACTTCAGCTGAGTTTACACAGAAGTGGGGCCACTGAGCTGGAAGTTCTAGAAGACATTGCCCACCTGGCTACCAGCAGCAGGGGTGGGTGAGGTCACCCCCACCCCTGCTTTCCTGGGAAAAGAGGAGGCTGCAGCTGCCAGCTGAGTCCAGCCAGAAGTAAGACCGCTGGACTGGAAGCTGTAGCAGGTGTTGCCAGTCTGGCTACTAGCAATGGGAATGGGCAAGGTTGCCTACCCTATTGTCTGACTATTTCTCAGGGCAATGAGAGGCTCAGACCACTGGCTGAATTCACATAGAAGTAGGACCAGTGGGCTAGAAGCTCTAGCAGGTATTGCCTATCGCCACCTGGCTACCAGTGGTTGGGGTAGGGGGTGGTCACCTGCCTTGTCTAGGTGCTTCCCAGGACAATAGGAGTCTGCAGCCACTGCCTGAGTTCAGATAGAAATGAGACCACGGGGCTGGAGGCTGGCACCAAACCTTGTCTAACAAAGGGGTGGAGCAATCTTGCTCCAATCTTACTATGACTGCAGCCTCTACTGGGGTGATGACACCAACGCTGATCTGCTCTGGGGCCCAAAACATGTAGCGGTCCCCTTGGACTCAAGAGTTGCCCCCACAAAATGTCCAGGTGGCTCTCTGCCTCAGTATAGAAGTGTGGTAGGGGGAAACAGGGGAGCTAGAGAGGGTCTCCCATTTTTAGTCTTGCATAGGTCCCTTTGGAGAGTATGAATCCCCCAGGGGACCCTCACTTACTCACCCTTTCTTCTGTTGGATAACTTTTTCTGCCTCAGCACTGAGCCCAGACAGTCTGGTAACCAGATTCGCTATTCTCTGCTCTCTATGCCCCACTGCTGCTTGATGGATCCTGACATGGTTTCTCGATGATTGCCCTGCAGAGTCAATGTTCACTAGCCCTTTTGTTTCCTCTCCATGAGAACAGCACACATGAGCTGCTTGTAGTCCACCATCTTGACCCAACTCCTAGATAGATATTTTTATAGTAATTGGCTCATATGATTGTGAAGTCCAAGAAGTCCCACAAGCTGCTACCTGCAAGCTAGAGAACCAAGAAAGTTGGCGATGTAATTCAGTCCAACACAAAAGGCCTGAGAACCAGGGGAGCCAAGTGTATAAATCCCAGTGTAAGTCCAAAGGCCTGAGAATTGGGGCAAGAGAATGATGATGATGATGATGATGATGATGATGATGATGATGATGATGAAAGTCCCAGTCTAAATCCGAGAGCTAAGAACCAGGAATGTCAATGTCCAAGGCAGGAGGAGATGGATGTTTCAGCTCAGGCAGAGACAGCAAATTTGCTCTCCTGCTTTTTTGTTTTATTTACATCCTCAGCAGATGCCATGATGTCCACCTGCGTAGGTTATTTTTTTTTACTCAGTCTACCAATTCAAATGCTAATCTCTTATGAAAATACCCTGACAAATACACCCAGAAATAATGTTTCACTAGCTGTCAGCATCCCTTGGCTCAGTCAAATTAACAACAACAACAACAAAATTAAACCATCACACCTTGAAATTCATAGTAGGTAAGTGAAGAGAACTTAGAATTTGGAGTCAAAAAGGACAACATGACGGTCTCAGACCCATCACTTAATTGCTGATAAGCTCAGACCAAGGCGTGTGGCTGTCTCAAGCCAATCATTGATTTGGAACCCCTCTAATCTGATGTTTTTTAACATATTTTTGTCAATAGTTTGGTCTAGAGAAGAGTCTGAATGCTGCAGGAGGGAAGAGGCCAAAAGGAAGATCCCAGGTTACCAGACATGGTTTCTGCTCTGTTATCTTGAAAAACTCAGTGATATGGTTTGGCTCTGTCCCCAACCAAATCTCACCTTGAATTGTCATAATCCCCATGTGTCAAGGGCAGGGCCAGGTGGAGTTAATTGAATCATGGGGGTGGTTTCTCCCATACTGTTCTCATGGTAGTCAGTAAGTCTCATGAGATCTGATGGTTTTATAAATGGGAGCTCCCCTGAACAAGCACTCTTGCCTGCTGTAATGTAAGATGTACCTTTGCTCCTCCTTCACCCTCTGCCATGATCATGAGGACTCCGCAGCCATGTGGAACTGTGACTTATTTAAACCTCTTTCCTTTATAAATGACTCAGTCTCAGGCTTGTCTTTATTAGCACCATGAGAGTGAAATAATACAGTAAATTGGTAATGGTAGAGTGGGGTGCTGCTCTAAAGATACCTGAAAATGTGGAAGTGACTTTGGAACTGGGTAACAGGCAGAGACTGGAACAGTTTGGAGGGCTCAGAAGATAGGAAAGTGTGGGAAAGTTTGGAACTTCCTAGAGACTTGGAGGGCTCGGAAGACAGGAAGATGTGGGGAAATTTGGAACTTCCTAGAGACTCTGAATGGCTTTGGCCAAAATGCTGATAGTGATATGGACAATGAGGTCCAGGCTGAGGTGGTCTCAGATGGAGATGAGGAACTTGTTGGGAACTGGAGCAAAGGTGACTCTTGTTATGCTTTAGCAAAGAGACTGGCAGCATTTTGCCCTTGCTCTAGAGATCTTTGGAACTTTGAACTTGAGAGAGATGATTTAGAGTATCTAGCGAAAGAAACTTCTAAGCAGCAAAGCATGTGACTTGGATGCTCTTAAAAGCATTCAGTTTTATGTATTCACAAAGGTATAATTTGGATTGGAGCTTATGTTTAAAAGGAAAGCTCAGCATAAAAGTTAGGAAAAATTGCAGCCTGATGATGCTGTAGAAAAGAAAAACCAATTTTCTGAGGAGAAATTCAATAGAGCTGCAGAAATTTGCATAAATAACGAGGAGCCAAAATGTCTCCAGAGCATGTTGGAAAACTTCATGGCAGCCCCTCCTATCACAAGCCTGGGAACCTAGAAGGAAAAAATGGTTTTGTGGGCTGGGCCCAGGGCCCCCCGCTCTTATCTGGGGACTTGGTGCCCTGTGTCCCAACCTCTCCAGCTGTGGCTAAAAGGGGCCAAGGTTCAGCTTCAGCCCTGGCTTCACAGGGTGCAAGCCCCAAGCCTTGGCAGCTTCCATGTGGTGTTGAGCCTGCAGGTGTGCAGAAGTCAAGAATTGAGGTTTGGGAACCTCCATCTAGATTTCACAGGATGTATGGAAATGCCTGGATGTCCAGGCAAAAGTTTTCTGCAGGGGCAGGACCCTCATGGAGACCCTCTGCTAGGGCAGTGTAGGAAGAGAAATGTGGGGTTGGAGTCCCAACGCAGAGTCCCCACTGGGACACTGCTTAGTGGAGCTGTGAGAAGAGGGCCACCATCCTCCAGACCCCAGAATGGTAGATCCACCAACAGCTTGCACTATGCTCCTGGAAAAGCTGTAGACACTCAACACCAGCCCATGAAAGCAGCCAGGAGGGTGGCTGTACACTACAAAGCCACAGGGGCAGAGCTGCCCAAGACCATGAGAATCCACCTCTTGCATCAGCATGACCTGAATGTGAGACATGGGGTCAAATGAAATCTTTTTGGAGCTTTAAGATTTCACTGCCCTGCTGGATTTCAAACTTGCATGGGGCCTGCAGCCTCTTTGTTTTGGCCAATTTCTCCCATTTAAAATGGATATATTTACCCAATGCCTGTACCTCCATTGTATCTAGGAAGTAACTAACTTGCTTTTGATTTTACAGGCTCATAGGTGGAAGGGACTTGCCTTGTTTCAGATGAGATGTTGGACTATGGACTTTTAAGTTAGTGTTGAAATGAGTTAAGACTTTGGGGGACTGTTTGGAAGGCATGATTGGTTTTGAAATGTGAGGGCATGAGATTTGGGAGAGGCCATGGGCAGAATGATATGATTTGGCTCTGTCCCCACCCAAATCTCACCTTAAATTGTAATAATACCCACATGTCCAGGGCAGGGCCAGGTGGAGATAATTGAATCATGGTAGCAGTTTTCCCCTTACTGTTCTTACAGTAGTGAAAAAGTCTCATGAGATCTGATGGTTTAATACATGGGAGTTCCCCAGTACAAGCTCTCTTGCCTGCCACATGTGAAATGTGGCTTTGCCCCTTCTTCACCTTTCACCATGATTGTGAGGCCTTCCCAGCCATGTGGAACGGTGAGTCCATTAAACCTCTTTCTTTTATAAGTTACCCAGTCTTGGGTATGTCTTTATTAGCAGCATTAGAATGGACTGATACACTCAGCATTGGCCCCAAATTTGTAAAATCCTCTCAGCAAAATGAAAGCCTGAGACTAAGGGCTTGCCTTTTTTCTCTATCCAATTAGTAAAAATTTGTTGTAACTTAGGAATGGGTGTCTTCTCTCCTACATCACATCTACCCCAGCAGTTTATAAGGCATTACTTCTAAGTACATATAGTGGATAGTTCCATTACATGCAGTTTTTATCATCATCTCATTATACTTTCATTTATGTTGAACACATCTTAGAGATTAACATCCTTGGCATCTGCTTTGGTGGCCCTCCTCTTAATCAAAATCTGGTTTGACATTGATCTTGTTTTCTACCTTTTGAAATTGGAGCAATGATATCTACTGTTGCTCCTAAATCCAGCCTTCTTTTTAAATGCCAACTTCCTTAGGGAAGGACTGTGCCAAACACGTGGAAAAGGTCATTACTCTTCATGGATTGACATTTTCAAGTTTCCTATCTCTAGCTCCTCTGACCCTGTCTTGGGTCTTAGAGTGCAACAGAATTGGGAATGGTTTCTTTTCTATTGGAGGTATAAAAAAACTTTGGCTTTTTCCTTTACTATGCTAAGACTTGGAAAAACACATTTGGGGGATGGGGAACTTTGGCTTGGTGAGTGCCTTTTTCTTAAAGAATAAAGAATGATGGGGCAGAGCCCATAGGGGAAGAAGCAGAGGACTTCTTGCCTTTGGCTACTTTCAGGCTCTGGAGTGAGAGATGATGTAAAAGATATCCTTAAGTAGAAAGAGAGGCAAGGATATCTCTTATAAGCCCTATTTGAGAATAAAAATGAACAGACATTACCTCCTATTTCCTGAGCATCTTCAATGTGTCAAGCACTGTAGTAGAATTCTTACATATTTTAATTACCACAATTCTCAAACAATCCTATGAGATTCAAATCAATTCACCCATTCTGTAGACAAAGAAACTGAGGCTCAGAGACTTTAAGACTGCAAAATGAAACAGCTAGGAAACTGTAGAGCTGGGACTTTATCCCTTGTATGTCTGACTCCAGGAGCTGAGTCATTTTTATATGGGATGCTCTTTCTATTTTTATGGAATTAGTCAATCTAGATTACAGTTATTTAAAGTTACTGAATATACCTTGAATGTTTCCAAAGCACAATCCTTTTTTGTTGTTCAAATGAGCTGTTTGTTTTATATTCCCTTGAGTTTTGGGGTAGTATGTAGTTAATGAATGAATTAAATAATTGATTAAACCCATTTTTCTATTAACATTATAACAGCACTTCTATTAATATGAAAATATGAATGTGTCTCAGAGAAGTTTCCTTTGACATTATAATGACTGTATTAAAATTTCAAATATAATAATGAAATTCTAATTGTTTTAGAGAAACAATTTAAAAAGGCTATATATAAATGCTCTGGAAGAACTATGGGATGTTCACAAAATACCAAAAAGGAATTTTCAGAAAAGTTGATATGAAAAACCACATAATTTTTATTAAATTGGACTGTAATTTCAAAATAATAATCATTTAAAGAGAATCTTTTGTTTCAAGTATTACGGTGAACAAAACAAGAATTGGCAGATTAAAACATACAATATGGCAATTTAGACAAAGAAATGTAATCCAAATTCTAGTTTATTTAAAGCTTTCCATGAACTTCAAGTGGGTAAGGAGCATATATTCCATTGTCTCTCCTATTCCTCTCTCTAACTTTTTTCATTATCTCTATCTTCCACCTGCCCCAAGGCTGACCTGTATGGAGCACATCCATAGACTGCCTTGACCTGTGATTTCAGCCAATCAGGGGTACCTCCAAAAAATCAAAGGGAGGAGAAACAAAGTTGGGGTATTCATTTCTTCATTTCCCTCACTGGGGATCAGTGAGGGCTGGCTATGTCCTTTGGTTGAAAGTCATAGTTGCTATTAATATAAAGTGACGCCTCAGCTTATAGAGCCTGGTAGCCCCTCTTTCCCTTTTCTCTTTATGCTTCCAGGTGTTCTCTAACCTCTGGGTACCATATTGTTGCTTCAAGTTCTTCTACTCTGCTTACACCTTTGAAAATAGTTCAGCTTTGTACTCTCCTTGAACATTAACTACTTTGTGTGAGCCATCTAGTTTCCTGTTGGGACTCTATTAACATTTATGTGGTATTCTGTTTGTTTTGTTGTGTTTTTGTTGGTTGTTTTTCACACAAAATTGAGAAATTTCCTCTGTTCAAATTAAGATTTAGGCAAGTCCTATCATCTCTCTAGACTTTAATTGGGGATTTTCAGGTAGTTAAGAATATTAAATACGCTAAGTTGGGTAAAGCAATTAACACAGTTACTGGCATACAATAGATGCTCAGAAAATACCTTCTCTTCCCTTCTTTTTTCTAAATGTCTTAGCACTGGTTTTGTCAAAGGAAAAGAAATAATTTGGGGGAATTGATAAAGCAGGAAAAACTTTGGCAAATGTGTCAGTGACTTTTCAGGTACTGAAGAAGTTTAAGCCCAAGGTGGGTGCTACTTGGCAAGGATGCTGATTATGAGAACAAAAATGAAAAATCAGACTAGATAATGGAGATTCATTCCCTCTCTCATAGTTCAAGACTCAATTCCACCATTTTTACCTGGGTAGGATTCTCCAGTAGTGCCTACACTACAAGTGTTAGGATTTCAGAGTAAGCCCACTTACCCAGTGATATGGTTTGGCTCTGTGTCCCTACCCAAATCTCATCTCAAATTGTAATCCCCATGTGTCAAGGGAGGGACCTGTAATCCCCACGTGTCAAGAGAGGGAGGTGATTGGATCATGGGGGTGGTTTCTCCCATGCTGTTCTCATGATAGTGAGTGAGTTCTCACGAGAACTGATGGTTTCATAGTGTTCCTCCTTCACACAGTCTCTCTCTCTCACCTGCTGCCATGTAAGACATGCCTGCTTCCCCTTCCATCATGATTGTAAGTTTCCTGAGGCCTCCCCAGGCATGTGGCATGGTGAGTCAATTAAATCTCTTTCCTTTATGAATTACCCAGTTTCAGGTATTTCTTTGTAGCAGTGTGAAAATGGATTAATACACCTTGACTGTCTACCATCCTTGAGTAGGACTTTAAAAGTGGCTTTGTAACCTTGAGTCTGGCTGGCTCCAAATGTATTCTTATTCACATACCATTTAATATTCATGTTTGTTTGGGTTTAATAAATATTTTTGCCAAATATGATGTGCTAGGCCCTGTGCAGACCCTAAAGAAACAGGATTTAGTTAATAGATGTCTATTAATCACTTCAATATGTGCTAGGCTGTGTTTCATATCTATGTTTCAAGATTGCTGGTGTAACAGAGTGGGCAAGTGGTAAGAAAGAGATCTGTGAAACAGCTACAAGTTGGATGAGAGGTAGAACTTGGAAGTCTGCAGTAAGGACTTTGGATTTTGCCTTGAATTTTTAATGTAAAGCCACTAGAAGATGTACAACAAGCAAAGTGATGGGAATCTGACTTATGTTTAAAACATCACTTTGGCTGCTAGGAATAGAATAGACTGAATTGCGCAGTGAAGGGGAAAAAGCAAGATTGAAGACAAAAGGTCAATAAAGAGGTGCTGAAGTGGTCCAGGAGAAAGATAAGGAGGACTTTGGGCAGAGAGGCTGTAGAGAGGCTGCTACAGTGGCCCAGAAGAAAGAAAATGGTGGTTTAAAGGAGACCAGTAAAGAGGTATCTGCAGTGGTCTAGGGGAGAGCTAGTGAGGGCTGGAGGTGGAGAGCTGAATAGTGACTGGATTTAAGATATATTTCCGAGAGTGTATCAAACAAACTTGCTTGTAAATTTAAGGTAGGATATGACAGAAAGAGAAGATCCAAGGATGACTACTAGGTTTCTAGATTCAGTGACTGGTTAGTACCACTGAAGAAAGACAGTCAAGAATTCTGTTTTGGACATACCAGGTTTGAGATGCCCATTAGACATCCAAGTAAAGATATCTAGTGGACAATTAAATCTATGTCTGAAGCTCATGGGAAATGTGCAACGTGAGATACATATTTTGGAGTTAGCATCATATATATGTATTTTAAAGCCCCAGGATTGGATTACAGCATGAGATAGGACATATTCTAGGCCTTTCAGGAGCTCATTCTCCCTGCTTCTCTCTCCTCCTACTCTGTGAGACCCTTGAGACAAGGCCTTTTGGATTTAGCTCTTTCCTTAGTACAGGGTTAGAGTATTGGTCAGAAATAAGCATAGCCTAGTGAGTATCTGCTCAGGTTTAGAGTCAGACACATCAGGATTTTGTTCCTAATTTTACCATCAGTAAGGTGTGGACCTTAGGGAAGTTGTTTAACCTCTTCAAACCTGGTTTTTCATTCTTTAAAGGGGTATATTAATAATAATGAATAAAATGTAACAATGCCTGTTATATAGTAAGCCCTTAATAAATGCTGACTGTTAATATTAACATTATCATACTTTTTAGTAGTCATATTAGGAACTCACTGACTTCCCCTTCCTCCTTTCCTCCTCCCTCCTCCCTTTGGTCATCTTTGGGTACAAATACATTTGGAAGCAAAATTATTGCTTCCATAGCTCTTCACAATATCTTATTTGATCAGAGAGCAACTTTGGTTTTACAACTGACATTATACTTAGTGTTTATTTACATAGATTTTATCTTCTTTTGAAAGAAATAACTTGACTTGGAAAAACTGTTTGGTCAAAGAATGAGTTATTTTTGTTTCTGAAACTAACTTTGTGTCATACCTAGATACCTTACTAACAAGTTAGTAAGAAGCCATCATCCATGTACTTGACTAAAACCATTTATTTTTCCAAATCTACTTGGGGTACTTTACACAGTTTTAGTTTGATATATCTGATACATTTTTATAGTAGGTATGATATAAAAAATGTTCATGTGAAGTACAGTTTTGTAAGTGGAATTGGATTTCAAATGAGAGATAATATGCAAACTCTCACAGAACGCATTGTATGGAATATTCTTGATGTATCTTTGGTTATTTAAATCAGACATGTTCAGGAGGCTACAATATGGGAATTAGTGAGATGATGGTGATGGTGTTAAACACTCAAAATCTAAATATTTTTATAAACAAAAAATATTTTCTTGCATTAATTAATTTATTCACTGACAATCTTTAAGCACCCACTATGTGATAGGTGCTGGTTGTACCAAGACAAATAAGGAAAGCTCACTGTTCAAGTAGTTTCCATCTATGAGAGGGAGACACACACACACACACACGCACACAGAAGTTCACTGAAGCGATATGGATGTTATGATAAAAGCCTCTTAGGAAAATTGTAGGGAATTTTACACCTAACTAATTTTAAAATAAAGCACATTTATAAGCATAACGTGGGTACATTCCTTAAAGCTTGAAGTTTCTCTGTAATTGGTTTTGGCCAAAGAGAGCACTAATAGCCAGCATAAAATGACTGGTGCTTGTTGACTAAAAGAGGAGAGGTGTTTGTTAGTGACACTGAATGAGGCAAATGCTTGTTTCCTGGTGTTGTCTGAATGGCAACAATGAGGACCTAGAGCACTGTGGGAAGCTTTTAAATATTTAGTCTGTGCCAACCCACAATTTAGGTATTTGTGTACTTAACTTGATAGAGAGATGAATTATATATGGGAGTCTTTTCCCATCATTTGCTCAATGTGTGTTGACAAATGTCCCATCATTCTCTAGGAAGCACATGCTATGGGGATTACTGCAACATTCTGCAGACAATTTACTTATAGGGTTTTCATTCCATATGCTGCTTTCTCTTCATCACAGCTGCCTTTTTATTTATTAAAACACAGTCACAGAACAGGAAACTTTTCCAGACTTCCTTTTCTTAGAGTAGCATTTTAGAGCTCAGGTCAAATGCACTCAATAGTGAATGTATACAATTGGGCCTCCCTGTCTCTGGTTCTGCATCCATGGATTCAACAATACAACAATAAGTACAAATTTCTAAATATAGTATAAAAACTATTTACATAGCATTTAGGTATTACAAGTAATCTTGAAATGATTTAAAATATATAGGAGGATGTGTATAGGTTATATGCAAATGCTATGTGATTTTCTATAAGGGACTTGAGCGTCTGCAATTTTTGATATTTGTTAGGTATCTTGGAACATATCCCCTACAGATACTGAGGGATAACTGTAGTGATTACCAATATTTTGTTTCTTTGAGGCATAAGAAAACCCTTGGCCAGCTCAATGCAGTAGCAACAATTCCATTGAAAATTGAATTCTACTTAAAAGAGAAAATATATTGCCTTACTTAAATTGAAAGCAGAAAACTTTGCAACTCTATGCCGATTGCCAGGGCATTAGATTAGATCTTATATATTTTTCTGTGAATAATCATCACCCTATCTAGATGTTCTTTCTTGGTACCTACCCAACAGTTTGTTGATTTCTTAATTTTCAAAAGAGCATATAAGATCTACTTTCCACTTTTGTGACCATTAAGAATACAGGATTATGCCTTGAGCTACCATAGTGGAATATCTATTTTGGTATTCTAGGAATTTGATATGCAATGGAACCTCAAGTACTTTTCTATTTTATTGTAAATAAAAGTCTAGTTTCAAGAAATAACATTAATAGAAGCCTGCCTGAGGAAACACAGTTCATTAGTTTCCCTGTCCTCGGACCAATCTGGATAATCTGAGAGCTGCATAGCTGGCCTGCACTATCTTGATGCCTCATAGAGTTGCTTTTATAGAATGGCACTTTAGTATATTGCTGTTTGCCTGCATTTAGGGGCTCCATAAAAATAATCTTACAAAAACATTTAATGTATATACTCTAAAGGTGATGATAAAACATTTATGAAAGCATACAAAAAAATTTTCAGGTTTCATGACCAGGAAAAATTGTGAGTAACCAGCTTATTTTTTGCCCAAAAAACTGGGTTATTTATTTTTATTTTTTGGACTCTAAGAATCATAAGATAAATCAGTTCCTTGCTTACTTTGATTTGTAGGAATAAAGCCTACCTCTAATGAGTGTACAAAACCTTATGGCATGCATTGATTTCTACTAATCTTACTTCAAACTTTGTTTCATTTTCCTACTTGTAATTTCTGGTCTTCATTTTCTCTTTTATTTACTTATTTACATTTGTATTATATGCATTTCTGTGAGTCACCTCAAATTTATTTTAGACCTAGAAGAACTACAGACATGAACGTATACACAAATGTTCAAAAAACATTATGTTCAAAAAAGACAAAATGTCATTTTTGGCCATCATGAGTGAAATGTCCAGGGAATGAACTGAATTAATCCCTTTCTCTTCAAGTGTTTCATTTAAATCAAATAATTTTTTCTGATATTTCTAGATATTTTAATGTAAAAGTGGATATATTGGCCTAATATTTTGTCTTGGTGCGTATACATGGAGTTTAGGAAAAGAGTGAATCTCTCGCTAGCTGAGGGCAAGATGTGGAATCTACTACTGAGTTTGATTTGTCCCATTCCCACAATTTGCCCTGAAAGGTATCCTTCTGTTGGAATCATATGCTTGTAGAAGATCCCCCAGACTAGTAATGAGATGTTAGCTCAATCTCCCTTCTCTATGTAATTGTTTAATTTGGCCTTTGGAGTGAGACAGAACTGGGTTCAAATACTAGTTATTTTTTTAGGAGTAATATGAAGTTAATGTATTACTGAACTCCCCTCTATCTCTCAAATACTTTTTCTTTAAATGAGGGCTCATAATTATTATGTCCCAAGATTACTCTGAAGGTTAAACAAGATAATGGGCTTAGCATGGGCCCAACACAAAGAAAATGAGCCATGGATTTCTGGCAAGATGGTCGAATAGGAACAGCTCCAGTCTGCAGCTCCCAGCGAGATTGATGCAGAAGACAGGTGATTTCTGCATTTCCAACTGAGGTACCTGGTTCATCTCATTGGGACTGGTTGGACAGTGGATGCAGCCCATGGAGGGTGAGCCGAAGCAGGGCAGGGTGTCGCCTCACCCGGGAAGTGCAAGGGGTCAGGGGATTTCCCTTCCTAGCCAAGGGAAGCCTTGAGAGACTGTACTGGGAGGAATGGTACACTCATGCCCAGATACTGCACTTTTCCCATGGTCTTTGCAACCGGCAGACCAGGAGATTCCCTCCGGTGCCTGGCTCAGCAGGTCCCATGCCCACAGAGCCCAGCAAGTTAAGATCCCATTGGCTTGAAATTCTTGCTGTGAGCGCGGCAGTCTTGAGATCGACCTGGGATGCTGGAGCTTGGTGGGGGGAGGGGCATCCGCCATTGCTGAGGCTTGAGTAGGCAGTTTTATGCTCACAGTGTAAACACAGCCACCGGGAAGTTCAAACTGGGCAGAGCCCACCACAGCTCAGCAAGGTGCCTCTCTAGATTCCACCTCGTGGGCTGGGCATCTCTGAACAAAAAGCAGCAGCCCCAGTCAGAGAGTTATAGATAAAACCCCCATCTTCCTGAGACAGAGCACCTGGGGGAAAGGGCAGCTGTGGGCACAGCTTCAGCAGACTTAAATGTTCCTGTCTGACAGCTCTGAAGAGAGCAGTGGTTATCTCAGCACAGTGTTCAAGTTCTAATAATGGACAGGGTGCTTCCTCAAGTGGGTCCCTGACCCCCGAGTAGCCTGACTGGGAGACACCTCCCAGTAGGGGCCAACAGACCCCTCATACAAGAGAGATCTGGCTGACATCTGGCAGGTGCCCTTCTGGGACGAAGCTTCCAGAGGAAGGATCAGGCAGTGATATTTGCTGTTCTGCAGCCTCCACTGGTGATACCCAGGCAAACAAGGTTTGGAGTGGACCTCTAACAAACTCCAACAGACCTGCAGCTGAGGAGCCTGACTGTTAGAAGGAAAACTGACAAAGAGGAAGGAATAGCATCAACATCAACAAAAAGGACATCTACACCAAAACCTCATCAGTAGGTCACCAACATCAAAGACCAAAGGTAGATAAAAACCACAAAGATGGGGAGAAACCAGTGCAGAAAGACTGAAAATTCCAAAAACCAGAATGTCTCTTCTCCTCCAAAGGATCACAACTCCTTGCAAGCCAGGGAACAAAACTGTACGAAGAATGAGTTTGACAAACTCATAGAAGTAGGCTTCAGAAGATGGGTAATAACAAACTCCTCCGAACTAAAGGAGCATGTTCTAACCCAATGCAAAGAAGCTAAGAGCCTTGAAAAAAACTTAGATGAATTGCTAACTAGAATAACCAGTGTAGAGGAGAACATAAATGACCCGTTGGAGCTGAAAAACGTAGCACGAGAACCTTGTGAAGCACATGCAAGCTTCGGTAGCTGAATTGATCAAGTGAAAGAAAGGATATCAGTGACTGAAAATCAAATTAATGAAATAAAGTGAGAAGACAAGATTAGATAAAAAAAAGAGTGAAAAGAAATGAACAAAGCCTGCAAGAAATATGGGACTATGTGAAAAGACCAAATCTACGTTTGATTGGTGAACCTGAAAGTGACGGGGAGAATGGAAACAAGTTGGAAAACACTCTTATGGATATTATCCAGGAGAACTTCCCCAACCTAGCAAGGCAGGCCAACATTCAAATTCAGGAAATAGAGAGAACACCACAAAGATATTCCTCGAGAAGAGCAACCCCAAGACACATAATCGTCAGGTTCACCAAGGTTGAAATGAAGGAAAAAATGTTAAGGGCAGCCAGAGAGAAAGGTCAGGTTACTCACAAAGGGAAGCCCATCAGACTAACAGCAGATCTCTCTGCAGAAGCACTACAAGCCAGAAGAGAGTGGAGGCCAATATTCAACATTCCTAAAGGAAAGAATTTTCAACCCAGAATTTCATATCTAGCCAAACTAAGCTTCATAAGTGAAGGAGAAATAAAATCCTTTACAGACAAGCAAATGCTGAGAGATTTTGTCACCACCAGGCCTGCCTTACAAGAGCTCCTGAAGGAAGCACTAAACATAGAAAGGGACAACCGGTACCAGCCACTGCAAAACATGCCACATTGTAAAGACCATCGATGCTATGAAGAACAGCATCAACTAATGGGCAAAATAACCAGCTAACATCATAATGACAGGATCAAATTCACACATAACAATATTAACCTTAAATGTAAATGAGCTAAATGCCCCAATTAAAAGACACACACTGGCAAATTGGATACAGAGTCAAGACCCATTGGTATGCTGTATTCAGGAGACCCATCTTATGTGCAAAGACACACACAGGCTCAAAATAAAGGGATGGAGGAAGACCTACCAGGCAAATGGAAAGCAAAGAAAAGCAGGTGTTGCAGTCCTAGTCTCTGATAAACAGACTTTAAACCAACAAAGACCAAAAGAGACAAAGAAGGCCATTACATAATGGTAAAGGGATCAATTCAACAAGAAGAGCTAACTATCCTGAATATATATGCACCCAATACAGGACCACCCAGATTCACAAAGCAAATTCTTAGAGACATACAAAGACACTTAGACACCCACACAATAATAGTGGGAGACTTTAACACCCCACTGTCAATATTAGACACATCAACAAGACAAAAAATTCACAAGGATATCGGGGACTTGAACTCAGCTTTGGACCAAGTGGACCTAATATACATCTACAGAACTCTCCACACCAAATCAACAGAATATGCATTCTTCTCAGCACCACATTGCACTTATTCTAAAATTGACCACATGATTGGAAGCAACACACTCCTCAGCAAATGTAAAAGAACAGAAATCACAACAAACTGTCTCTCAGACCACAGTGCAATCAAATTAGAACTCAGGATTAAGAAACTCACTCAAAACTGCACTGCTACATGGAAACTGAACAACCTGCTCCTGAATGACTACTGGGTAAATAATGAAATGAAGGCAGAAATAAAGATGTCCTTTGAAACCAGTGAGAACAAAGACACAACACACCAGAATCTCTGGGACACATTTAAACCAATGTGTAGAGGGAAATTTATAGCACTAAATGCCCACAAGAGAAAGCAGGAAAGATCTAAAATTGACACCCTAACACCACAATTAAAAGAACTAGGGAAGCAAGAGCAAACAAATTCAAAAGCTAGCAGAAGACACGAAATAACTAAGATCAGAACAGAACTGAAGGAGATAGAGACACAAAAAACCCTTCAAAAAATCAATGAACCCAGGAGCTGATTTTTTGAAAAGATAAACAAAATAGATAGGCCACAAGCCAGACTAATAAAGAAGAAAAGAGAGAATAATCAAATAGATGCAATAAAAAATGATAAAGGGGATATCACCACCAATCCCACAGAAATACAAACTACCGTCAGAGAATACTATAAACACCTCTATGCCTCTCTTCTAGAAAATCTAGAAGAAATGGATAAATTCCTGGATGCTTACACCCTCCCAAGACTAAACCAGGAAGAAGTCAAATCTCTGAATAGACCAATAACAGGTTCTGAAATTGAGGCAATAATTAATAGCCTACCAACCAAAAAAAGTCCAGGACAGACAGATTCATAGCCAAATTCATAGCCAAATTCTGCCAGAGGCACAAAGAGGAGCTGGTACCATTCCTTTTGAAACAATTCCAATCAACCGAAAAAGAGGGAATCCTCCCTAACTCATTTTATGAAGCCAGCATCATCTTGATACCAAAACCGGGCAGAGACACAACAAAAAAAGAACATTTTAGGCCAATATCCTTGATGAACATCGATGTGAAAATCCTCAATAAAATACTGGCAAACCAAATCCAGCAGCACATCAAAAAGCTTATCCACCACAATCAAGTCGGTTTCATCCCTGGGATGCAAGGCTGGTTCAACATATGCAAATCAATAAACATAATCCATCACATAAACAGAACCAATGACAAAAACCACATGATTAGCTCAATAGATGCAGAAAAGGCCTTCAACAAAATTCAACAGCCCTTCATGCTAAAAACTGTCAATAAACTAGGTATTGATGGAATGCATCTCAAAATAATAAGAGCTATTTATGACAGACCCACAGGCACTATCATACTGAATGGGCAAAAACTGGAAGTATTCCCTTTGAAAACTGGCACAAGACAATGATACCTTCTCTCACCACTCCTATTCAACATAGTATTGGAAATTCTGGCCAGGGCAATCAGGCAGGAGAAAGAAATAAAGGGTATTCAATAGGAAAAGAGGAAGTAAAATTGTCCCTGTTTGCAGATGACATGATTGTTTATTTAGAAAACCCCATTGTCTCAGCCCAAAATCTCCTTAAGCTGATAAACATCTTCAGGAAAGTCTCAGGGTACAAAATCAATGTGCAAAAATCACAAGCATTCTTATACACCAATAACAGACAAACAGAGAGCCAAATCATGAGTGAACTCCCATTCACAATTGCTACAAAGAGAATAAAATATCTAGGAATCCAACTTACAAGGGATGTGAAGGACCGCTTCACGGAGAACTACAGACCACTGCTCAAGGAAATAAAAGAAGACACAAACAAATGGAAGAACATTCCATGCTTATGTATAGAAAGAATCAATATCGTGAAAATGGCTATACTGCCCATAGTAATTTATAGATTCAATGCTATCACCATCAGGCTACCACTGACTTTCTTCACAGAATTAGAAAACACTACTTGAAAGTTCATATGGAACCAAAAAAGAGCCCACATAGCCAAGACAATCCTAAGCAACAAGAACACAGCTGGAGGTGTCACGCTACCTGACTTCAAACTATACTACAAGGCTACAGTAACCAAAACAGCATAGTATTGGTACCACAACAGATACATAGACCAATGGAACAGAACAGAGGCCCTCAGAAAAAAACACCACACATCTACAACCATCTGATCTTTGACACACTGACAAAACAAGCAAGGGGGAAAGGATTCCCTATTTAATAAGTGGTGCTGGGAAAACTGGCTAGCCATAAGCAGAAAGCTGAAACTGGATCCCTTCCTTACACCTTATATAAAAATTAACTCAAGATGGATTAAAGACTTAAATGTAAGACCTAAAACCATAAAAACCCTTGAAGAAATCCTAGGCAATACCATTCAGGACATAGGCATGGGCAAAGACTTCATGCTTAAAACACCAAAAGCAATGGCAACAAAAGCCAAAATAGACAAATGGGATCTAATTAAACAAAAGAGCTTCTGCACAGCAAAAGAAACTACCATCAGACTGAATAGGCAACCTACAGAATGGGAGAAAATTTTTGCAATCTAGCCATCTGACAAAGGGCTAATATACAGAATCTACAAAGAACCTAAACAAATTTACAAGAAAAAAACAAACAACCCCATCAAGAAGTGGGCAAATTATATGAACAGACACTTCTCAAAAGAAGACATTTATGCAGCCAACAGAAACATGAAAAAATGCTCATCATCACTGGTCATCAGAGAAATGCAAATCAAAACTACAGTGAGATACCATCTCACGCCAGTTAGAATGGCCATTATTGAAAAGTCAGGAAACAACAGGTGCTGGAGAGGATGTAGAGAAATAGGAACACTTTTACACTGTTGATGGGAGTGTGAATTCATTCAACCATTGTGGAAGACTCTGTGGTGACTCCTCAAGTATCTGGAACTAGAAATGCCATTTGACCCAGCCATCCCATTACTGGGTATATACCCAAAGGATTATAAATCATTCTACTATAAAGACACATGGACACATATGTTTATTGCAGCACTGTTCACAGTAGCAAAGTCTTGGAACCAACTGGAGTGCCTATCAATGATAGACTGGATAAAGAAAATGTGGCACATATACACCATGGAATACTATGCAGCCATAAAAAACGATGAGTTCATGTCCTTTGTAGGGACATGGATGAAGCTGGAAACCATCATTCTCAGCAAAGTAACACAAGAACAGAAAACCAAACACCTCATGTTCTCACTCATAAATGGGAGTTGAACAATGAGAACACATGGACACCGGGAGGGGAACATCACACACTGGGGCCTGTTGGGGGGTGGGGGTATGGGGGAGGGATAGCATTAGGAGAAATACCTAATGTAAATGATGAGTTGATGGGTGCAGCAAACTAACATGGCACATGTATACCTATGTAACAAACCTGCACGTTGTGCACATGTACCCCAGAACTTATAATAAAAAAAGAAAAGAGAAAAAGGGTTATATTTCTAAAAATTAAAAAAGAAAATGAACCATTATTTGGTAGATATTATTACTATAAAAATCATTGCTACTAGTCTTATCCACCTTTATATCTACTACTGCCTTCCTGAGCGCCCTGCCTACAAACGCAAGGTTCTAATCACCATTTAATTCATCTATTTAATGCACACATTGTACCAGGAACGTGTAGGTACTGAGTGCCTCCCTCAAGAAGCTTATGCTCTGTTCTCACTCATCGGTGGAAATTGAACAATTAGATCACTTGTACACAGGGTGGGGAACATCACACACTGGGGCCTGTCGGGGTGTGGGGGGCTGGGGGAGGGATAGCATTACGAGAAATACCTAATGTAAATGATGAGTTGATGGGTGCAGCAAACGAACATGGCACATGTATACCTATGTAACAAAACTGCACATTGTGCACATGTACCCTAGAACTTAAAGTATAATAATAAAAATAAATAAATAAAGTGAGCCTATGAAGGAAAAAAAAGAAGCTTATGCTCTAGTGTGGAGAGAAACAATTTCAAATGGTGATGAGTGCTGTGAAGAAAATAAAAGGGATTGAGAGAGAGTGATTTCAGTCAGAGGTCTAATTTAAATTAAGTGGTCAGGAAAGACTGCTTTGTGTAGGTGGCATCTGAGATGAGATCTGAAAGAAGAGAAGGCATTGAGGAAGAACGTTCAAAAGAGAGAACAGTAAATGGAAAGGCAATAGAATAGGAATAAACTTGGTGTATTACAAGAACAGAAAGAATGCCAGTGGGCTAAGCAGAGCAAGCAAAAACGAGAGAAGTACAAGATGAAGTAGGTAGAGGTCATGTCATAGTCCTGAGACTAACCTATTTGTTTAGGTGCAATGGGAAGGCACTGGAAGGTTTTAAGCAAGTGTGTGAAAAGATCTGATATTACCTTAAAAAAATCCTTTCTTTAAACAATATGCAAAATCCTTGCTCCATCTTCCCATGCTTTTCTCTCTGCTTAGAAATTCCTTTATCATCTCATCATTCTTTGGTGAGCTCTTAATCATCTATTCCTCGAGGCCCAACTCAAATGGGTCTGCTAACACCCGACCCTCCTGCCCAATGCATAATTTCTCTGTGGACACACTTCTATCACAGCACTTAGAATACTTCTTACCGTGGTCAGGATGCCTGTATTTCTTGCAAGATTGAATTTCTCTTGGTGAGGTAGGAGGGGTGGGACTGTGTTTTGTTCATCTCAGAATCTCCGCTACTTAGAAAGATGTTGGTGCGGAGAAGATGCTGAATGTGTTGCCGAATTTAGCATTATCCATATACAGCTTTGAGTCAGAAAATAGAAAATTAACTGAATTTGGAAATTGGAGATAGCCAGGTGAGGCATACTACTCTCATAGGCAGGGCTCCAGGTCTCTTCTCCAGGCTGCATCTCTGGGCTGCTGTGCATTCAAAGGCACTTTTGATCAACTAAGGCTTTGCTGCTCCCAGGGACATAGATCCTGGTATAGCTACATTCTGACTGATTTTCAAGTAAATAGAGATGTGATTTCTGATTAAAACTTAGCCAGAAAGAGCAGAGTTTTCACCACTTCCACACCCTTTCTCAAAATACGCATTCGCAATACTGAGAATTCATCTTCAGCCAAGTTGGAGGCCTTGAGTTGGACTGGGACTCTTTTTTGTTGTTGAGACAGAGTCTTGCTCTGTCACCAGGCTGGAGTTGCAGTGGTGCAGTCTTGGCTTACTGCAAGCCCCACCTCCCAGGTTCAAGCAATTTCCCTGCCCCAGCCTTCTGAGTAGCTGGGACTACAGGCGTGTGCCACCACACCTGGCTAATTTTTTGTATTTTAGTAGAGACGGGGTTTCACCATGTTGGCAAGGATGGTCTCGATCTCCTGACCTCATGATCTGCCCACCTTGGCCTCCCAAAGTACTGGGATTATAGGCATGAGCCACCGTGCCCAGCCAAGTGGGACTCATTTTTAAGAAGTGTCATATTCTATAAGGTCTCAGCCCAGAAGAACAGGAACCACTGCCAAATTTATTCTCCAAGTCATTGCTACCTCTGGAACTGATACAAGCCATGCTCTCACGTGAATCTTCCATTAAGGCCTCTCTCCTTCCATTTGTCCCTTGATCCCACACCTTTGTCTTCACTCCATGGGATTTATTTTTTTCCTCCTCTTCTTTTTCCCCTTACAGCAATAACTTGTCAGCTTGCAGAACACTTTTTCAGTCTTATGCTTCAAGACAGAAGATAGGCTTAAGGAGAAGGATTGTAACCACCCTACTGTCAGAACCATCCTCTTTTAACACTCAACACCACTTTCCCCGTGTTCTCCCCAAATGCCACACCTAGAACTAGGATTCCTCCTAGAACTCTCAGAAAGGAATGGGCTGGTTGTGAATGCTTCTGTTAAGAAGCTGGCTGCTGTTCAATAGTCCTGCCTGGAAAAGGAATCTTACTCTTTTCTTCTATTTTAGCGGACACTTCTCAAAAGTTCACTATGTGGAGCTTCGATAATTTTCTAGATCAACTTTCTTTGGTGCCATTTTAGGCAAGACAGAGGATGCAGAAGCAATGCAGGAACAATGATGCAATGTTCTACTTTGGAGAAAGTAGAGCATATGGATAATACAGTTGCTTGATGATATTCATTAGTCTGACCTTCAAATCCCACTCCATTCCCTGCAGCTTGGTTCAGACTCCTCTTTAGACTTCTCACCAATTATTCCCACATGAAACCTATGCTTCAGCTGCAGTGCTCAGTTACTTTGGAAACATTGTGTACACTCTCATCTCTGCTCCTTCACATAAGCTATACCCTCTGTCTGAGAAGTCTTTCTTCCCATTTGAATAAAACTACATTTTATCCCACTGTCAAAATTCAGTTTGAAGCCACTCTCTTCAGGAATCACCCTAATTCTTTCTGTCATCACCCCACCTATGTCTCCTGTGATCATCCACATTATTTAGTATGTCCATAGAGGCAGGAGAGTATATTGTTTAAGTGTTAGCCTCTGGAGTTGAAGCCCCTGTCTAGCTGCCATTGACTAGCTGTGTGATATTAAATGACATCTTTCAGTGGACACATCACATCTCTCCTACCACATTCTATTTCTTATTCAACCAAAAAAGCAATTGAATGTCTGAGTTACTCCTACATAGAGGTAAAATAGGCAGCTGCCTACATGGTGTGATTTGAAGTTATAATATGACCTGAAATTTTTTTCTTCCTGGCCTTTGATTTAAGTTTTGAAGATGACTTATAAAACTAATAACATTATAATGAAATTCTTAGAATTGTAACCTTATAGATTGGGAATCCTAAAGTGTCATTTCTAGTAAGATCATTTTAGAATCAGTTAGTTTAATCTTGTTTTGCTATGCGTTTAATATAATCTGCTTGTTTTTTAGTTGGAGAAATTGCTTTTCAGAGAGGTAAATGAGTACAAAGACCATATATGAAATTCAAATTTTTCTTTCTCAACATTATTGTTCTAAAACGTAATTCCAAGTATTTAAAGGCAAATATGGCTTATATTGGTTTTTTCATTGTCTCCAATTATTTTGGTTAGGTATAAGTATTAAGATACAATTTCTTTAATTTGTAAGAATATAAATCTATTTCGTTTAACTTAGAAAAAAGAAATACATTTGAAGGATATTGAGGACTCACGGAATCCATGGGAAGTAGAGACCTAGACCTGAGGGTGAGAAGGAAGCAAAGAGCTTTAGTATCAGGGAGAATAAGCCACAAAAGTGGACCTTAAGTCTAACAATCTGGTCAAAATATAAAGGAACACAAAGTCTTTCATTATTTTCTCTCTGCTAAAGATGCAGATTCCATGGAGAGCCTATCTGATTTGCCTAGATAGTGCATGTGCTTTGGCAAGGAACAGCAAGGCCTTTTACTTGTGACCCCACCAAAGTATACCCAACAGAGAAGGAGTCATTTAAACATAGGAAATAAATTGCTATTGAGAAGAGGAAATAGATGTGGATCATCCAAAATTTAGTAACGTCCACTACAACCTAAATTCTTTGTTCATATAAAGAAAAGTGGACAATACTGACAGCTACCAACTGTAGCCTACTGGTGTTTATATTAAGAGCTTTACCTGTATTTTATTATTAGATGCTTTGAATAAATATGTGAGAAAAATACTACCATTCCCATTTTACAAATCAGAAAATTAAAGGTGAAAGAAGATAAGTCACTTGCCCAACATTGCATAATTAAATGCCTGGCAAAACCTGGATTCAAAACCAGACCTGTTAGCCTCTAATATCTCTCTTCTCACTACTGCTCTGAACCTTTATGCATGTAAAAGAGCTAATGAAGTTCCTGGCAGCTAGCAGATGCTCTGTCCTGGAGGAACAGAAGCAACAGGGAAACATCAATGGCACTTGCTATTCCCTCCGCATGCAACAGTCTTCCTCCAGAAATCCAACAGGCCTACTCCTTCACTTTATTCAAATGTTACCTCATCAGAAGGGCCTTTCTTCACAACCCTGTGTAACAAACCTACCATCCCTTCTTTTACTTTCTATTCCCTTATGCTGTCTTTTTCCCCTCATATCACTTGTCACCACCTGCCATATATGTTTGTATATTTGTTCTCGCCCATAAAAACAGAAACCTTGTTTTATAAACTAATTTATCTTTAGCATCAAGAACAGGACTTGATAAATATTTGTTTGATGAATGAACAAAACTAATATAATTGGAGGCACAGTTCTTAAGCTCTGCTTCTAAACTCCAGTGTGGCTTCAGCCCAATCATTTATCTCTATAGGCTTCAGTTATAAAATAAAAAACATTGAGCCAGATCAAGCCTAAACCCCCGACCTCTTTGCCATGTTTTTTGCCATCCAAATTCTATTTACCTGTTTATTTGGTTTTACGTGTTGTGCTTCTCTCCTAGCTTTCTTATAAAGAAAGCATTTTGTAGCTAAAAAATGGTTGAAAGACACTGCACAGGGTGATCCTTAAAGTTCTCTATCTCTATAAAAGTGTGCAGATGTGTCAGCATAAAGGGTTAATAGACTTCCCAAATAGATTGCAAAGAAAGTCTTTCAAGTAACAATTATGCTTTTCTTATATGAAAAAAAAATTCCTTGCCTCCTATACTTCTGATTTCCAAATTTCAGGAGGCTGGTAGATGAGTTAATTTACTCATTTCAATTACCAAAAGCTCTTTACTGAGTCCATGTTATTATTTTAATTAACATAATAACCCTAAAAAGTAGGAAGTTGTGAAATACATGAATTCAGAGCTTCTAAGATTAATAAATCTACTGAAGTATGAAAGCTTTTCACGTAATTTTTAAATGTGTGAAGATCAATAGTGTAGAAAGGAAGCTATGCCATACACAGGGAGATGATGGGCACTGAGAAATTGATTTAGAGGCATTCTTGCATGTGATGAAGGCCAAGATGTCACAGCTGACTCCTTTGAATCAGCATTTCAACCAGTTACTCTGTGAAGGAATAGCCTAACTGGGTATCAGTGGTGATACCTTGGGTGCCAATGGCCTTTGTGTATAAGATGTCATTGAGAACATGATTAAAATCCTCTGCATCTCTTCTAGGGGTAAATCTTTACTCCACAACATGGCTTACGTGTTATGCTGTATCCTATGGCCTCCACCTTCCTTTTCAACTGTATCTGTTGCTTCTGCCTATCTTATTAACACTCTCATTCATGCATTCATTAATTCAATGAATTCAAATTATGTACTTAGTGATTACTATGTACCAGACTTGGATTAGCCAGTAGGGATTCATGGTGTACAAATAGAAACATGGACCTACTCTAATGGAACAAAGAAGAGCAATAGTAAGTCATAATGAAGTATGATGCATGTTAGATAGGGTATTAAAGTGATCATGGGCTGAGACAGGGTAAGGAGTGGGCATAGCTAATCTAGGTGGAAGGAGGATTTCCTAGAGGAAGTGAGACCAAAGATAAGTAACTCTTGACCTACGAAGAATCTCTAGAGCAGTGGTCCCCAGCCTTTTTGGCACCAGCAACCCATTTTATGGAAGACAGTTTTTCCATCGACGGGGGTTGGGGCTGTGGGGATGGTTTTGGGGTGAATCTGTTTCACCTCAGATCATCAGGCATTAGTTAGATTCTCATAAGGAGAGTGCAATCTAGATCCCTTGCATGCAAAGTTCACAATAGGGTTTGCACTCCTATGAGAATCTAATGCCACCGCTGATCTGACAGGAAGTGGAGCTCAAGCAGTAACGCTTGCTCGCCCACAGCTCACCTCCTGCTGTGTGGCCTGTCCGTGGCCCCAGGGGTTGGGGACCCCTGCTCTAGAGAGTTAAGTGTTGGTAGGCTCCTGTGGTTTGATAATTCAGCTCACTGGTTGACTTAATCCTAGATATATCTGGGGCTTAGTCCCATCCTACAGACAGTAAGAGGCTCTGCCAACAAGATGAAGGCTACTTCTATCCCCAGGACTTTTTTCCAAGAATCACAACTGTCTTGACCTTACTTAGTCTCCTACTTGTATTGTGGGCTTTTGCTTTGCCCTTACCTCTGACTTCTGTGTCAATCTCAGTTCCAAAACCTCTACTTGTTCTGACCTTGATAATCTGATGCTTGTTGCTGAATCCAGCCTGCTGGTCACACTACCACAGTAATTCTTCTGGCACCATTAGGTAGGACTTCCTTTCTCTGTATTAGACATTCCCAGGGCTGTGCCATATCGTTCTTCAGTCAGTGCTTTGCCTCTCCAGCCCAGATCTCATACCTGATAGCCTGCCATCCCTATGCACCCACAGGTCATCAAATTATTATAACTTTTCACATGGAGCAATGGACTGGGCTTGGCTTCCTCACCTGCTGTCTGGAGACTGATATTCAAGGGGTATCTCCTCAAGATCCTCGTCTGCTTCCCCATGTATCTATGCCAGCCTTTTATTCCTGGTAGGTTAGCCCTCACTCCTGATTTCCTTTATCATAGAGAATAATTTCTGCATGACCTGGCTTGGAACATGGTATGTCATCTCTGCTAAGTAATCCTACTCCCCTCCTCACTGATTCTGATCACATCTTCATCCACTTCAGACTGTGATTGTACTTTCGCCCCCAGGAGAGCTGAAAGTCATTGGCTACTTATGCCTTCTGCCCCTCCTCATTCTTCTCCTTTGCAGTCTACTTCCTCAGCTGCTGACTCAGTCTTGGCTCCAACCTCATTATCTCTCATCCCCTGTCCCCCACTGAGTTTGGAAACCTAGTTTTTGGACCAACTCATTTTTCACATTACTTTTTGGCTAAGCTCCCTGGATTTGACAACCTGGAATTTAGGCCATTTCCTGGCTTTCTTGGACTCCAGATCACTTGAAGCTACTCTCATGATCTACTCCTCAGTCTTTCCACTGGGGGCTCAGTTCAGTGAACAAGCATTCCCTGAGCTGGGATTGGGAGTGGAGGGAGGACAGGGGTCCAGGGAGATGATAAATCAGATAGGGCTCTATATTGTCCTATTTTCCTGTATTTCTTTGTCTGTTATTAAGCACACTCAACCTTGTTTATACCTAGCCTGTATTACCCCACTCAGTGTGTGCAGGTGGACAATCTGTAACTACTTTGTGCTGGAGGTCATTATGTTGAGATCTTAAAAACCAGCACCACTCCCCCACCCCCTCTTAGTAACCAGGCTTAGGTCTATGTCTACACGCTGAAAAATCTAACAGTGGCTCCTCACATGTTAGGGCTCAGTGACAATGAATACTCCTGCTTAAAATCTCTTATCTCATGAGGCTGTGTATTAGTATGTTCTCACATTGCCATAAAGAACTGCCCCATATTGGGTAGTTTATAAAGGACAGAGGTTTAATTGACTCACAGTTCCGCATGGCTGGGAGGCATCAGGAAACTTACAATCATGGCAGAAGAGGATGCAAACACATCCTTCTTCACATAATGGCAGGAAGGAGAAGTGCTGAGCAAAGAAGGAAAAGTGCCTTATAAGACCATCACTCACTATCATGAGAACAGCAGCATGGAGGTAACCACCCTCATGATTCAATTACCTACCACAGGGTCCCTTGCACAACATATGGGGCTTATGGGAAGTACAATTAAAGATGAGATTGGGTGGAGACACAGCCAAACCACATTATTCCTCCCTTGGCCTCTCCCAAATCTCAAATTCTCACATTTCAAAACATAATCATGCCTTCCCAACAGCCCCCCAAAGTCTTAACTCATTCCAGCATTAACCCAAATGTCCAGGAACAAAGTGTCATCTGAGACAAGGCAAGTCCCTTCTGCCTATGAGCCTGCAAAATCAAAAGCAAGTTAGTTACTTCCTAGATACACTGGGGGTACAGACATTGGGTAAATATACCCCTTCCAAATGGGAGAAATTGACCAACAGGCCCCATGCAAGTCTGAAATCCAATAGGGTCGGTCGTCACTGAATGTTAAAGTTCCAAAATGATCTCCTTTGACTCCATGTCTCACATCCAGGTCATGCTGATACAAGAGGTGGGCTCCCGTGGCCTTAGAGCTGCCAAAGCCCCTGTGGCTTTGCAGGGTACAGTCCCCCTCCTGGCTGCTTTAACAGGCTGGCATTGTCTGTGACTTTTCCAGGTGCATGGTGCAAGCTGTCAGTGGATGTACCATTCTGGAGTCTGGAGGATGGTGGCCCTCTTCTCACAGCTCCACTAGGCAGTGCCCCAGTGGGAACTCTGTGTAGGGGCTCCAACCCCACATTTCCCTTTCACACTGCCCTAGCAGAGTTTCTCCGTGAGGGCTCTGCCCCTGTAGCAAACTTTTGCCTGGACATCCAGGAATTTCCATACCTCCTCTGAAATCTAGGCAGAGGTTCCCAAACCCCAATTCTTGACTTCTGTGTACCCATAGGCCCAACACCACATGGAAGCTGCCCAGGTTTGGAGCTTGCGCCCTCTGAAGCGATGGTCCAAGCTGTACTTTGGCCCCATTTAGCCATGGCTGGAGCTGAAGCAGCTGGGAGCAGGACACCATGTCCCAAGGCTGCACAGAGCAGGGGTCCCTGGGCCCTGCCATGAAACCATTTTTTCCCTCCTAGGCCTCTGGGCCTGTGATAAGAGGGGCTGCTGTGAAGGTCTCTGATATGCCTTGGAGACATTTTCCCCATTTCTTGGTGATTAACATTTGGCTCCTTGTTACTTATGCAAATTTCTGCAGCAGACTTGAATTTCTCCCCAGAAAATGGGTTTTTCTTTTTTTATTGCATCATTAGGCTGCAAATTTTCCAAACTTTTCTGCTCTTCTTCCTCTTGAACCCTTTGCCATTCAGAAATTTCTTCTGCCAGATATGCTAAATCATCTCTCTCAAGTTCAAAATTCCACAGATCTCTAGGGCAGGGCAAAATGCCACCAGTCTCTTTGCATAACAAGAGTTGCCTTTACTCCAGTTCCCAACAAGTTCCTCATCTCCATCTGAGACCACCTCAGGCTAGACTTCATTGTCAATATCACTATTGGCATTTTGGCCAAAGCCATTCAACAAGTCTCTAGGAAGTTCCAAACATTCCCACATTTTCCTGTCTTCTTCTGAGCCCTCCACACTGTTCCAACCTCTGCCTGTTACCCAGTTCCACATTTGGGGTATCTTTACAGCAGTGCCCCACTCTCTATGATACTAATTTACCATACTAGTTCTTTCTCAGGCTGCTATGAAGAAATACACAAAACTGGGTAATTTATAAAAGAGGTTTAATTGGTTCACAGTTCCACATGACTGGGAAGGCTGCAGGAAACTTAAAATCATAGCTGAAGGGGAAGCAAACATGTCCTCCTTCACATGATGGCAAGAAGGAGGATTGCTGAGCAAAGAGGGAAAAGCCCCTTATAAAACCATCAGATCTTGTGAGAACTCACTCACTATCACAAGAACAGCAGCATGGGGGTAACCGCCCCCATGATTCAATTACCTCCTGCTGGGTCTCTCCCATGACATGTGGCGATTATGGGAACTACAATTCCAGATGAAATTTGGGTGGGGACACAGCCAAACCATATCAGGCTGGAAAGAGAAGGAAGAACAATCTAGAAACAAATCAGGATACTACATTTTGCAGGATTCTGCACTGTAGAGGAAGAGGAAGCCTTCACGTGAATGATTAATCCTTTATCCTTTCTCTGAGAGGCACTATGTGAAAATTGGGCAAAATCTTACTCATGGAACAGCTTCCTGGAGAAGCCCCTCCACCACAATACCCATCCCTACCCAGCTCTGCAAGAAACCCTCTAGCCAATCATGGACCTAGAAATGTCAGGGCACAGACAGTCAGCCTTCTTACTTCTCTGGCATTATCCCCTCACCAATACACATTCACTCCATTCAGTTAACAAATATCTATTGTGAGTATTCCATGTTTCAGGTACCATCATATACTAGATTATTCACTAGTGAGCAAAAAATAGATACTGTCCCTACCCACATACAAATTACAACCTAGTTGGAAATATAAACTATAAACAAACAAGCACCACACATGCATAATTATAAATTGAGATAATGCTTTGAGGAAAGGATCTAGTTGCTCTGAGGGATATTAACAGCAGCTAAAACAAAAAAGATGAGTAGAAACCAGCTAGGCAAAGGAAGAAGTTAGTGTGGAGAATGGAATGAATGGAAGGAAAAGTGTTCAAAGGTCTTGAGATAAAACTATGAAGTGGGTGCATCTGAGGAAGTAAAAAAGTCATGTTAAAGAGTTTGGATTTTGTTCCAGCATAACTGGAAATTGTGAATTTTAATCTAGGAAGTGACATGATCCAATTAAGCTTTTTTTTCTTTTTCTTTTTTGTTTTGAGACAGGGTTTTATTGTTACCCAGGCTGCAGTGCTGTGGCACAATCATGGCTCACTGCAGCCTGAACCTCCTTGGCTCAGGTGGTTATCCCACCTCAGCCCCACAAGTAGCTGGGACTATAGGTTCGTGCCACCGCACCTGGCTAACTTTTATATTTTTCTTTTCTTTTCTCTTTTGGTAGAGACAGGATTTTGCCATGTTGCCCAGGCTTATCTCAAATTCCTGAGCTCAAGGGATCCACCTGCCTTGATCTCCAAAAGTGCTGGATTTACAAGCATGAGCCACCACTCTGGCCCAATTAAGCTTTGAAAAGGCTATGCAGAGAAGGGAACTGAGAGGGGAAGAGTAGGAAAAAGGAAGCTTGGCAGAGTAGAATACTTTTTTCAGCAAACTAGCCAAAACATGGAAATGTAGTAGACAAGTAGATAGATTGGAAATATCTTTTGGAGACAGATAAATTTAAAGTCTTTTAGAGAACTTAAGACCTTAGTGAGATGTGAAAATTTCAGTAAATGATATCTAGCCAAAAAAAATTGATACCATTTTTGACTTTGCTCTTACTTTTTCACATTTTCTTATCCAATCCATCAAGAAATCCTATAGACTACCTTTGAAACAGATTCCAAATCTCACTTTTTACCCCCTCCACAGCTTCTTGCTTTACTTAACCCATTATTATACATTGCTTGGACAGCCACAATAGCTACCCACTGGTCTCGCTTTCACTCCTCCCAATCCCCAGATAAAACTCTTACCAAAGACAAGGCCCTATAATCTAGTACCCTCCCCCACTTTCTAACTTATTTTCTGCCAGTCTCCTCATCACTTATTCCTATTTATTCACACTGACATTCTTACCATTCCTAGAGACACAAAAACTTATTTCTGCCCTTGGACCTTTATGCTTGCTGTTCTCTCTGGCTCAGTTTTTCCAATTATATATATAGTTTATTTCCTCACTTTGAGTTCTACTAAATGGTTACCTCCCTGGCCATCCTAATTTTAAAAGTCCCTATGTTACCCTCTATCCCCTTATCTTGCTTTTTCTTTCATTATTCTTATCATTACCTTATACTATATTATACATTGATTTGTTTGTTTATCGCTCTTTCCCATTAGAATTTAAGTTCCCTGAAAGCATGGAATTGCTTTTTTTTTTCCCCCTTCTGCTTCTACAACAGCTAGAAAAGTGCCAACATGGGAAGCTCTTGGGCAATATATTTTTTTAATTTTGTATTGACAAATAAAACAGGCAGTATTTATTGAAGGGTGAAAGAGAGTTAAAGTTAACTCAGGTTCCTGATTTATACAATTGCCTGGATGTAGATGGTGAAGCTATTCACTGAGACAGGAGCACTTTTAGAAGCCCAGATTTGGGGCATGTCAGGAGATTAATTTTAATCAGGTTAAATTTGAGGTAACTTTGAGACATCCAAGAGGAGCGATCAGGTTGGCAGTTGGATAGAATGACCATATAATTAATCATTCAAACTGAAAGTGAATAGGAGAACTAAAAAAAATTGTATATTTTTTGAAATACTGTTTTTTGAAACAAAATTGATTTTATTACGTTAGTAGAGTTACAAAATAATTATTTTCAAAATCTAGTTTTAAAAATAGAATTTAATCTAAAAATAAGATTAATAGGCATTCATGTACATTAAAGCAAAAATGTTTAAAAACATATTTATTTTCTTAAAATCAAAGTAATTATTTTTGGCATACATTCACAGGCTTTACTCAGTTTCTTAGCTACACCTATATCTAACACTATGTCATTAGTATTTTTATGAAGAATATTTTTTCTAATATGTTCTCATGATTTTTAGTTCTTGATGACATTGCCTTTGCCTTTAATCTTCTTAGAGTTATATATTATGATGAATAAGTTTGAAACTGTTGATGCATTCAATTAATTATTCTTTATAGAACATACTATACTTAAATTAAAAAGGCATTTTCTCTGTAGGTACTCAGGTACCTGCCTGATAAACTTAGAGCACATTTTATAAATAAGGGACATTCCTAGAAATAAGCCTTTTAGTATTGAAATATATAAATATTTCAGTCCAAATATTTATACAGTTACTTCCTTATTTGCTCCCTTCAGGAAATTTTTCTTTGATTTTTTTAATAAAACAAAATTTATCAAATGAGGTGCTTCTTCATTCTTTTAAATGTTCATCAAATGTAGATATTATAAAACTGAAGGCCTTCTCAATTTTATTCCACTGTAGTACAACATATAAATGTACAATTAAAAATAGGAGCTTCATCAAAAGACTCTACTAATAAGCTGTTATCCCAAGGTAAAATCATAGAATTTCAAAATTTAATCTTGTATTTCAATTTTGCTTTCACCATTTAATTTGTGCAATTTCTTTCTTGCTTTTGTAAAGACAACTGTCGTATCTTCCTGTTTGCAAGCTTTATTTTAAATAATTGCAAATTGATAAAAGCTTTAAAAGCTGAAGCACTTTGGTGCTTCATTTATTGAATATTTGATTAAAGATTGCCAATTGATTTTGAACAAAAGACAGCCAAAATGTAAAAGTCTCATTAACAATAATAAAGAAAAAGTACAAAATCAATGTAGATTAAAAAAAATTTTGAGCCTTTATTAAAGACTCAAAATTTGTGAAATCACATTGATGTCAGACAGTAAAGACAGAAAGTGTGGTCTGGCTTTCTAAAACTTTATGAAAACATTTTTTTCACATATAGTTTAATGTTAGCTTCACATAAAAATTGTATAGTTCTGTTTGGGTACATTTTGACAACTATGGCTTCTATTTTGAAGATAGAAAATAGAAGCTTGTTTGGATGCAATTATGAATTATGTAGACACCTCAAACCAATTCAAAATAAATTTTACTCCATAGGTTTGTTGATTTAACAAGTATATTGCTTTCACCAAACCAAAATAGGTTTGCTGATTTAACAAGTACATTGTTTTCACCAATTTCAAAAAATACCAATTGTATTCATATTGCCCTAAAATAATTTTTTCTTTAATGTTTAACTTTTGAAAATGAATAAGCTGTATCAGCACTACCAAGACAGTATTTTAGCTTCAATAGAATTAATTTCCAAAAGCTTTACTTTGGTTACATGAATTGGATGAAAATAATTGAATTATATTGGAATTCAGTTAAATTATTTTGTTTGATATATCTGTTGACTTTGATATAAAACTGCTGGTTTTAGTTCTTCTGCTAATTGAGGAAAGACATTGACAGCTACCACTTCATACCCAAGAGAACTTGGAATTGGTAATGATCAAAATTATTTTAAAATAGTCATGTAAATAATAAGCCAGACATCAGAAGTTATATGTAGTATAGCTCTGATGTCTGGCTTTTCATTTAGAGCAAATGACTGTTCTAGAATAATTTCAATCATATTTCTTCTATGCTTCTGCTTTTACATGTGTAAATTGTAGTATTTTGGCATAAGTTTTTCAAAAATAAGTATTAACTATTTAAGTAGATGTTGATGTTTCTTCAGCAGATTTGTGTCTTCTGATTTTTATGCGGGCATGTTATCAGTACATCCCTATCAGGATCATAAACACTGACAAATGTTTTATACACGTTATGTATTTATTATTGCGTGTCATGAGAAATGGAAATTTAATAGTTAACTTTCCTAAAACATACACTTTTGTAGTTTTGAGCTCATTGCGGATAAAAGGGTAACAGACAAAAAATTTTTTTAAGAATTTTAACTAAACAAGAAAATAAATGCATAATTTTATGTTATACCCTAGCATAAATGTGTCAAGAGCATTCAGACTATTCCCTATAAGCAGGACTGCTTAGTCTCTATTTCCCAGGCATATTTCAAATTCTCCTAACCAATTATTTTCCACATTTCCTATTGATCCCACTAACTAGTAACCTGGAGGCTCCATGTATCTTGAAGGTTACAACATGGGCCACAGCACAATTGACTGGTACAAAAAGCTGCCAGCAGGGACAACATCTTTGAATACTTCTCACACCACCATTTGGAAACTGAAGGTATTAACTGCCTTCCTGTATCCAGACACACTTAGTTTTATCAGACAGCACATTCCTTGAAAGGTGGATATTGGTTACTTTGGGTCTGCAAAAGGTCAAGAAGAGAAAACAGGTTATCACTGTTTTTAGTTAATAAGCATATATTTAAATTAAGACCCCATCCATTTTCACTTTTTCCTTGACCCCCTACCTTGACTTGCTCTGTCCATTTCAAACCCTAAGCACACTTAGTGTGAACTTGGAATTCATTGTTCCCAACCAAGAAAGAGCATGATGCCAACTATCCATCACACACAGCATGATGAGTATCACATTTACCATTTACTAAGCACCCCGTATGTGTCAGGTACCAATCTCCAAACTTCACAACAAATCTATAAGCTAAACACTATTTGCATTTTATAGATTGGGAAACCCAGGCCCAAGGTTACATGACTGATTAATAATAATGGAAATCGATTACAGCCTAAACCCACATTAGTTCTACTATACAATGACTGCATTTCTAAAAGACATCCAAAGCTAGAATTGCACGTAGCCCTATCTGTTCATTCAAAACCCAGCACTGACTGACTTATTTACTCATTCATTCAAAATATTTATCAATTGCCTCTATATGCTAGGTTTTATGCAAGGTGACAAGGGGATCCCAGTCTAGTGACTTCACAGCCTGAATGATTATTGTTATTCCACCCATGATGTAACAACAAAGTAATCTGGATACAAAACTTCAGTGCAAACCTGACCCATTTCAGCTATGGTCTACCACCTAATAATCCCAAAGCACCCAGAATTCTAATACTGCCTCATGTACCATCCCATACCCCAGCAAATGACAGTTTTGAAAACACAGTCCTTTTCACCTAAGAGTTTCACAACAACCCTAAGAAGGATACAGGATGCTTTTTAGTAACCACATTTTATACAGAGGCACGGGGGAAGAATATACCAAGAGCTTGGACTAGAATCCAACTCCTAGCTCCTTGTTCAGTCTTCTCTTCTTGCTGCCTGTCAGGAATCTGGATTGGAGAAGATAGAGTATGTGATTTATAGCCTCTCATTGCATGGGGTGCCTGTCCCTGGAGTTTCTGTCTGCATTGGCATTCTGCCAGCAGCCACCATAGGTAGGAATATTGTTGCTGTCCATGACCAGGGGGAATAATCAGTCTCAGCTATTCCTCAGCTCCAAACAAGCCTAAGTAATTGGGTTTATTTTTAATTTTTTTAATGGCTTGGAATTAATAGAAGCAGCTGCTGCCACAGTGTGTGGGTGTCCTTCTCCAGAAGGCACAGACCAAAAAAAAAAAAAAAAATCCCTACATATAATATAAACTCTGAAAAATAAATAATACAGTGTGTAGGACAAAAAGGTTAATTCAAGAATCGAGCAATGTCTTTTTGTTATCAAAAATTCAGCTGGCAATATGTAGCACTGTCTCTCTCCTCCCACCCTGAGTGCCCATCAGCCCCTGATAAGATGATAATCTGATTAGACACTGGGTGTAAAAATGTGTTGCCTGTATCTGAGCACTCTCTTACTCTTTCTCCCTCTCCCTGTGACTCACCAAGAGATTAGCTGTGACAAAGTGCGGAGAGAGATAAGAATAGATGTGCTGGTGACAGGAGTACTATTATAATTATTTGGTGGAAGATAGGATTGGAATTAGAATAGGTCCTGTTTGCCTAGGGAGGGTGCATTTAGAAAATGGGTATCCATCCAAGGTCCCTGGCTATGCCAGACATCAAAGAGGAAAAGGAGGGGGGCAAATGGCTCAAGCTAGGTGATAGCCTTGGTTGTTCCAGCCAAATGTAGACTAAAGGCCATGTGTTGGCATAGATGACAAATGAGAGATTCAGCTGCCCTCACGAAGGGAAAAGGAATGAAATCTTACCTCAATTTCAAATATGCCTGAGAAACTACATGCCAGTTTGCTTTCAGCCCCTGAGTAGATGAAGTAAGAGAACCAAGAGACTATAACTGCCGTTGTTGGATAAATCTGAGGTAGCACAGCCTTGGAATGGTGGGAAGAATATGTGCTTAGCATTCAGACAGTAGTGTGCATCAAACGGATAGCAAGCTATTGAGATTCAGAAGGTGCTTAAAATTTGCTACTTCCTTTGGGGATATCTGAGTGACTTTGTGATCCCCTTGTTTTGCACACCTTTTTTAAGACTTACAACCTGGAAAGAATGATTTTTTATTATGTCCCTTTCTGCTAATTTGAAGAAAAATGCTTGTGTCTACTAGGGTTGAAACACCTTTATTCCCATCTGTATTTCTCTGCTTGATTAGAGAGGAAATTAGGGCTCCTGTCTTTCAAGGCTCCTGAGGAGGACCAGAGAATGCTGCTGTTTTAGAGAAACTTATGTACTGCATTAGGTCTGGGACTTCTCTTCTTCCTTATGTTCTGGTAACCTCCAAAATGATGCTTTGGGAATTTAGCTGAGAGGTCTCAACAGAAAGTAGAGAGGATAGGTGGGAGGGGAATCACTCATTCACTCATAAGTCAACTTAGTCATTTAACAAAATACGTTGAGCTCCTCTTTAAGGCCAAGTATTGTACTAATGCTGAGGATTTTGAGGTAAATCAGAAAAACAGCAGTGTCTGCAATTAGTATTTAGAGCAGTTAATTCATCCTGAAGTTGTTGACAAAGACTTCAAAGAGGAACTATCATTTGAGCTAGGCCTCACTTCTCTATACAGAGATGCACTGTGTAGAAAAGAATGGGAATAGCATTTAAAAAGGCAAGGAATAGCATTTAAAAAGGCAAGGAATAGCATTTAAAAAGGCAAGGAGGTTTTTGAGAATATGATATATTCAGGGCATGACTTAAAGTTTCACTAGAGAGAGTACAATGTATATATATATTAGTGGAGCTGACATTATTTATTCACAAACATTTATCCATTCATAAGTGTTCTTGGCACTTCATCTATAAGCCTTTGTATAGGTCCCGGAGAACTAGAGATGAACAATATGTACTACCTGCCATCCAGGAGAGCTCAATCTCATAGTGGAGAAAGGAATATGTTTAAACTGATGTAATGAGATAGAAGTTATAATAGAGTATGTTCGTGAATGTGTTGAGTGTGTACATGCATGAGAGAGTGCGTGTGTGTGTGTGCTTACTCAGAACATTCAGTCATGCATGACTGAATCTGAGGATGTGAGTTACAGACCTCCCTCATTCATGTGGATGTCCTCAGGATGCTGAACTCAGGACAAGGCCTTATTCCAAGAGCTGGATCAGCCTTTAGTCCCCAGGTCTTGAAAGCACACACTACAGGACCTGAAATCTTCCTGGGTGTCTGGCAGGATCGAGTGTTGTGCCATTTTCTTTCTGGGGTCTTCTGGGGAGTCGTGAACAACCTGCATAAGCATAAAGGTCCTTGACTCTACCTTTATTTCCATACCATTGATATAATATGAATAACTTCAGAGGATTGTTGAGAGGAATAAAGAAAATACATTATAAAGTACTTAGAATGGCCTAGCATATGGTCCATGCTATATAGATATTAGGAAATAGTACTATAATAATTATTATTATTATTTTATTTTTCCATGGATATCATAGACTATCTGTGTTAAATGGAATCAGAAGTCTGCCTTGTCTAACCTAACATCAAGTACAGGATCTTTATCCCCTAAAGCTTCTAATACTTGTATTTTCTCTGTAAGGCAGCCCTCTCTACTTTCTCTTCAGCTGAATGTTAAAGAGTCTCTACTTTATACTGAACTAGAATCTGCCTTCTTGTGATACCTACCAATGTTATTCTGGGATAAGAAGGTTTTTTCCCTTTTTTTCATTGCTTTTTACATAAATAAGTATTGCTTGAGACCGCTCTATGCCATGACTAGAGGTAAAGAAGTAACACAGTTTATATTTTCAAGAAGCCTACTCTTTGAAGAAATATCCAAATATCCATTTACTTTTATTGTTCATTGTTAAGAGACAAACTAGATGATAAAAATCTTTTTATATAATTTTTTAAAGTAGAGAAAAATAAGGAAGACTCAATAGTCAGGGAAGGCTTTAGAGAAGAGCTGTGTTAAAGGGTAGTCAGTTATACATTGATTTGTTCATTTAAGAAATATTTAAACCTTTGTTGACAATTGACTATATGCCTCATCTATCAGTAGGAATTCACCAAGTATGCAAGATGGTGGGGAAGGCAGACCAGGTAGAGGAAAGATCGAGCACAAAACATAGAGATATTGAAGGTATGGCACAAAATTGTGTTAGGGAGTTATGAGTAGTTGAATATAAACAAAGCAAAGGTTTCAAGGAGGGTGAAATGGATGATGATGCTGGAATCACAAGGCCATCACAGGAAGCCTTGTGGGCCAAACTGAAATGTGAGGATAGGAAGTTGCTTAAAAGGTTTTTAGCAAGAGAGTACTATAAAATCAGGTTTTTCTGGAAGTAGAAGGTAAGGCTGTAAGTTGGATGGCAAGGGGAAAAGGGGAGTGGAAAGATACTGTAGGGATTATGAATACAGGCTTTTGAGCCACACTGGCCTAGGCTTAATACAGGATCTGCTGCTCACTGATCTTGTGACCTCAGGGAATCTTTTTTTTTTTTCCTCTCTTGGCTTCAAATTTTTTTATCTATGTAAAGGGATAACAGCCCCTAGCTCATAAGGTTATTATGAGGATCAAATCATAATGCATATAAAACACTTAACACAATGTCTGAGACATAATAAACAAAATAAGAGAAAAATAAGAAGTACATCCCAAATGAAGGAGACGTTTTTTCCTCCCTAGTTTCAGCCCCCTTTGCTTTATTCTTTGCATTACTTGAAAGTCTTGAATTTTGCCTGCTGAGCCCTCCTCAAATAGATTTCTGTTTGTATCCTTGGGAAAGTCTAGAAAATCTAAGCCCTGAACAGCATCTCAGTTTCCCTGAATGATTGCCCTAGAGCCCATTAGCTCTACTTTGTCTGCTAATCAGGTTAGGCATCCCGGCTCACCCAGGAGAGGAGCTCGACAGCTGCAGGCAGTAGATGGATTCTCCTGATAGCACATAATCAAATTCAGTGGAGACAGCAGGCTCTCAGAGTCAAGTTGCAGAACTTGGCTGGAAGAGGAGAAAACTGTGGTCACAGAATTGAAAGCATATACCCTGGTTGGATATACTGGTAAATAAAAAGCTGAAAACAGCATCATAATCTGAGACCTTATGACTGTAGGAACCACTCGTGAATGAAGACATACTCATCCAGGGCTCTAAGAGACTCAAACTCAGACCGTCAAGTCAGAGCCTGAAGTGACTATCACAGACCTTTGGCTGGAAACATCAAGGCCATTTTCACAGACATTCTCCCCAAATACAAATCGGGAACCCTGGGACTCGTGTATGCCACCAGCCTGCCTCACTTAACTGCATCTTCAATACCATCACAAATGTAGATCATCATGTATTCTCTCCATACCCACATCCTTGCACTGGTCTGTTCTTTCTCTAATCTTGACTCTTCACTGCTTCCTTCCCTCTCCCTCTTCAGACCTCTTCATCTTCCACTTTTTCCTCTGGTACTCAGCTCCATGGTTAATAATCCCACTTGGATCCTCAGTCTTTAAGTTCACTTCTTCCTTTACCCCTTGTTTTAACCAAACTAGACTTGGTTAAAAGTCTATGATGCTTAAATATTTGCTAAATAAAACAATGAACTGAGGCCTGACCCTCTTGGAGGACATTACTACCCCAATTGCCCTCTCAAGAAATCCTCATTCTTCTATACTGCATGTACAGAAGGATCAGGAGGGGTCATTTTCCTCCTCACTCCTCATGCAACTTCCAAGCCATCATTTCTCTACCTCATCACTGATAACTCCAGAATTTAGGGTAGCAATCTAGTTAGAAGAAGGAGTGCCTATAAGATTTGTCTTGAAGATATATTTCCATTATAAGAAGACTGTTATTTATGTATTTATGGGCAGTAGCTTTGGGAGTAGGAGGCAAATGGACTCTATTGGTGGGCCAAACACCTTTAAACAACCTTTGATACTACCTCTGACTTTTATGTGAAAGCTCTGTTTCTTTGTTGCTTAGACTGCATATCTATCATCCTGTCTTTCTCCTCAGCACTTTCAGATTCTTACCCACCTTAGACCCCATGGCCCATCATTTTAGTCACTTTTTCTAATATAATCAAATACCAGAATATTTAATTAAATTTAATATAATCAAATGTATGTACAGGCATCAATGCCATGTAACCACTGCTGTTCCAAAGGAATCCCACAGCCACACCTCCCACCCTGGCCACTTAGCTTCAGAAAGACACTAAGGTAGAAACAAGATTCTGCAACAAACACTAGTATGTTATAATGCTCTGTTCTATCTGTTAACAGTTTTCTCCAGGTTGTTCTACCTGGAGACAGCACCCTTCTTGTTTTTCTCAATTTCCCCTCCTAAACCTTCCTCCTCACATTTGTCTTCATATGCCCCTGTAGTCTTTGGCTTCTCAATTGAATGCCAAGCCACTACAGGTGAGCCTTACATCCTTCATCCACTGTATCTGCACTCCCCAGGAGCATCCCTTCCTTTAAGGATCTTCCAAATCAACCTTGGTGGTTAAGACTTATTAAGCAATTGATAAAAAAGCAAGAGTTACACAAAATGTGGAGCTGAACTGGCCTGGAATTGTCCATGTAGTTAGTATCATGGAAAGGGCACAGTTTTAGATGAGTTTTGCAGGATTAGCAGGATTTGAAATGATAGAAATGAGAGACATTCACTGCAGGGAAACATTGTGAAGAGGTTGGATATCATAAATAATGAGAGGGTAGAGTAACTCTTTAAAGTGGGTAAATGCAAAGACATTATGGAAACTATGACTGCAACATTTTTGTTTCCTGTTTGCATCTCAGTGTTTAGCTTAGCAAAATTGCCCACACAGCATATTTTAAAGCACTATTTCCCAAAGTGCTTCTGTGGAAAATTAGTCTCATGGAATGCTCTGTAGAAAATAATAGTAATAATTTAGAGAAATGTTGAATATTTCCCTTTCCTTGAATATATACAATGCATATGAGTTTATTTTAAAAGTTCTTAATTAGTCTTATAATTTAAAAAACTTGACTTCCCCAGGAAAAGTAGGCCTCTCCCATTTATATCTCTATAGCATCACAGTCTTTATTTACCTTCAAGGCACTTTTAGAATCTGTAATTATATTGTCTACTTATTTTTAATATTTTACTGACCGCTTCCCCACTATTATCCATGAGGACAGAGATCTTCCTTGTCTTATTTATTATTGTACATCAAGGCCTGGGCATTTGATGCCACATATGTTAAGTGCTCAAAATAAGGATAAACAAGTGAATAGAATGTGTCTATTTTTGTTTAACTTTGCATTTTCCAGACAGTTGAGAAAGGGTGGCACTGGATTGTGAGCAAAGAGCTGCCAGATTCAGGTCTGTTTTAAACAATATGTGGTTTGTGTTGTCATTCTCCCAGCCCCATCACCCATGGTTCTTGATGTTACAGTTTTTCTCCAGGCATTGATTTATATGTATTACCTTTTGAAGCTTGAACGAATGTCTCATATGCCCAAATTTCTTTGTTTATATATTTTAGGCAAAGGCTGCCACCCAAAAATGTTTACTACTACCGCTGCCCGGACCATAGGAAGAACTATGTGATGTCCTTTGCCTTTTGTTTTGACCGAGAAGAAGATATTTACCAGTTTGCTTACTGCTACCCATATACATACACTCGCTTCCAACATTACCTTGACAGCCTGCAAAAGAGAAACATGGATTACTTCTTTCGGGAGCAGCTGGGCCAGAGTGTGGTAAGGCCTGTGCCAGGTTTGGGTTACTCATTTGGAAACAGGCAAACTTGGGATAGGGACTTAACACGGGTTTTTATGCAATGCAAATAATGAATACTGGTGCTTTCCAGAACTTTTAATAATTTACTAACTACAATTAAACAATTATATAATTAGTATTAATTTAACAATTCTTTAAAGTATTGTTTTTATTGTGTGATTTATTGCGACTGTGGGCACCAGGAAGTCACAGAATAAGATATGAGACAGATGGTTGTTTTTCTGAATGAAGCTGATAAAGCTCTCTAGCAAAATACAAAATTTAAGTGAATCCCAAAACCTCTGAGAGAAAAGGAGACTTTTGCTAGGTGTTACAAAAGGTATGAAAGCATTTTATTACTGTGAGCCTCTGATAGGAAGAATACATTTCTTAGTGAACCAAACTTGCCTGCAGTACAGGTTAGCAAGTGGTGTGCAGTTTGGTTGTGATGGCCACAATGTGCCCTGTCTCTGTCATCCATCAGTTCCTGACTGTTTTTTCCTGCTCCAGGTTTAGTTTCCTGGGTCTAGAGATTTCAGTCTCCTATTCCATAATTGTTCCCTATTGCTGATGTGACAAACTACCACAAATATGGTAGTACAAAACAACACAAAATTATTATCTTATAATTCCAGGGGCTAGAAATACAAAATGAGTCTCACTAGGTTAAAGTCAAGGTATCAGCAGATCTGCATTTCTTTTGGAGGCTTTAAGGGAGAATTTATTTCCCTGCCTTTTCCAGCTTCTAGAGGCTGCTTGCATTTCTTAGTTTGTAGTTCCCTTCCATCTTGAGAGCTATCAGTGGCTGGTTGAGTCTTTTTCATGCTGTATCACTTTGATATGAGCTCTCTTTCACTTATAAGGATCCCTGTGCTTACAGTGGATTTACCCAGATAATCCAGGTTAATCTCCATATAGCAAGATCTTTATCTTAATCATATCTGTGAAGTCCCGTTTGTTATGTGAGGTAACACAGTGACAGGTTCTGGGGATTAGGAGTTAGACATCTTGGGTTGGGGAGTGTTGCATCATTTTGCCTACCACATCTTCCTACTTCCTTTTTTTTTTTGAGATGGAGTCTTGCTCTGTCACCCAGGCTGGAGTGCAGTGGCAAGATCTTGGCTCACAGCTCACTGCAACCTCTGCCTCCCAGGTTCAAGCAATTCTCCTGCCTCAGCCTCCCGAGTAGCTGGGATTACAGCCACCACACCCAGCTAATTTTTGTATTTTTATTAGACAGTGTTTCACCATGTTGGCCAGGCTGGTCTCAAACTCCTGACCTCAGGCGATCCACCCGCCTCGGCCTCCCAAAGTGCTGGGATTACAGATGTGAGCCACCGTACCCTGCCTCTTCCTACTTCCCTCTCTTCCTCTTGTGCCCAAACTAGGATCTGAAGTTGTTCTTCATAGTGGATTCATAGGTTTTACTCTTTGTTGTCAGCAATACTTTGGTTGCTAATAAAGAATAAGCAGGTGCTAATTTGGTTTTATGTTTTACTCTTCAAAAAGTGTGGATTGTGCCCCTAAAAGAGGCTTATTGGACAGGCTCTAAACATTCTAAATGAGGATACTGGTGAAATTGGCAGAAGATACTTTACTTGGGGTTCTGATATGTGTTGCTAGTTAAATGGACTCAGCCTAGTGACTGTGAGTTTCACATAAAAGTGAGACGCATTTCTAAATAAATCCAGGATACCTCAAAAAAGAGAGCAGTAAAGAGGGCCTATGTGCAACTCAGGTACTGAGAGACAAATCTGGTCATGTTATTCTTGTAGTCTGAGATTCTGTGTGCACTATGATTTCATAGCTAAATATCTTTTCTCTACTCCAACCTTCTTCCCAACAGTGCTTCTCATGGTATCTTCCCATTTGTATCTGTTGCCTATATATTTTGAATTGATAATTGGTATACATGGTATATGAGTCAGCATGCTAGCAGGAAACAGATGGCAGCCTCAAATTAGGATAATTTAAGGAAGGTTTAATAAATGGGTTATTTACAAGGTGTGGGCAATGTATGCAATGACAAAGTACAGTGAAATTCTCTAGGGCTAATAACAGCTCAAAGGGAATAAAGGGAAGGAAGGTTAACAGAACACAATAGTAGAGAGTCATTTAGTGGGTCATCTCAGAAAGAATTGGTGACCTTCAGTTAAGGTACACAGTTAGCCTAAGATAATCCCATAGAGAGTGGTGAGAAAAATAAATATACAGACCTCATTCTCTTACTTACATCTGATCTCCTTCTAGGAGTCCATATTGGCCAACACAACCAGAATCCAGAGAACAAAGGAGCCCATTTATGTGATTCATACAGATCATCCTCCCAGGGAAAATAAAAAGATATAGAAAGGTGGAGAGTGGATGCAGAGGAACAAATATAATACATTAAGTGCACCTGGTCCAATTAACAGTATATTACTGAACAGTGAGCTTATTTGAGAAGGAATTGTCAGAAAAATTCTGAGATGAATATTTACCAGACATATGAATTGCGATCTTTTTTAAGAGAATGGGAAGTTCATTCATTACTCATAACATTTAAGGCAGGATCTGTACATTTCACTCCTGTGCCCACCCCAACCTTCTCTTAGATTTATGACTAGGCAGAATGTAGGTGCACAATGAATGTTTATTGAGTGAATGATTGAAACAATGAAAAAATGAATTAAGAACATGTCTGGAAGCAGTGTGAAGAGCTGAAAACAATAAAAAGCTAATAAGAAAAACAATAGGATCAGTTAAGCTTTCAATAATAGATATTCAAAATAACATATATAAAATTACAACTTAAACATGATAGACGTTTATTTCTTTTCAATGTAAAAGTCTAAATGTAGGCAATCCACAACTAATTTTATGACTCTACTCCTTGAAAGCCTCAAAGAGTCAGGTTCTTCTAGCTTTCTTCTCTGTCATCCTTGGGATGTGGCCCTCAACCTCATGATTCAATATGGAATTCTACCATCGTATCTGTATTCCATGCAGCAGGATGAAGGAGACGGTGGAGAAAGAAGAAGCAGTTCTGTGGCACTGTCATTTACTAGAACTCATCCACATTTAACTAAAGGAAGGAAAAGAAATGAAGTCTTTGTTCTGAGTAGCCAAGTTTTAGCTAAAAATTGGTGGTCCTCTAACTATGTGGGAGAATTGATATTGAGGGACAGCTTAAAGTCGCTGCCACAGGATATCTGAATTCTGCTTTCAGCTCTAACATGAAACTACTTGTATTACCTTGAATTCTATGTTCCCTTTCTGGGGATAATTTTTTTCACCTATAAAGTCAGAAAATTAGACTTGAATAAAAGTTTTCAAATTATCCTCGAGGAATTCCTCAGTTGGAAAAAGTAATAGTTTGAAACTCCTGTCCTACTTCAGAGCCTGTGAGAGGCACTGTGTACTTGTATATATACAAGGTATATATACAAGTCTTGATATACTTCCAGAAGTATATTCTGTACCAGGGGAAAAAGGACATCTCAAAATAGCTCTGATACTTTAAAACATATATAATTAAGGATAGAATGAGTTTTTTAAGAAGTTAATAATAAAAATAAACATCATGGAGAATGTCTTTAAAAGCTAAGATTTTGCTTTTAAGCCATCTTGAAAGATGGGTGGGATTACAGAATACAGAGTTGATAATAAGGTAGCCCAGAAAGCAAGAAAAGCCAGAGCCATTGCCTGATGGTGGTAGTTGGTTAGAAGTCTGGTGTGATTGGAATAGGAAATTCATGGGGCTACTGGAAGATTAGGCTAGACAAGAAGATTCGGGCAAAACTCTGGAAAGCCCTGATTTTCATATTGGCTGCATCCTTTATTCAGATTCAACACAACACACATACCGGGTTTCTTACTTTATATAGACTATTTGGTTTTTTTCTCACAATAGTTTTGTAGAGTAGGCAGAACTGTCCCAGTTTGGGGGTAAATAATCTGAGGATAAAAAATAAGTTTCTTCGTTAAGACCACATGACTAGTTCATATCAGGGCCAAGATTTAAAACCATGGTTTCTAACACCATGTCCTGGCCCTTTGATGGACAGTTTAACACCCAAAAAGATTTTTGAGAAAGGGATTTACCTTATCCAAAGCAGCATTTTAAGAAAGTAAATTTAATGGAAGTACAGGGTGTACCTGTGCCATCTGGACTAGATCAGGGAAGCTCTGTGGGTTGGCTCAATCCTCTGTTCTGGACCTTGATGAAGGTACTAGAGATTTTAAGGCTTTCTGGCATACTTTTGCAGACAAGTTGATTCTCAGTTACCAGGGTATTTGATATGGCTTGTGTCTGAAGGCATCAGTATAATTAGTTAATCCTTATTCCAATTCGAAGGGAGGATAATTACAAGTGGGAAGGCTAAACATGCCAGCATCTAGATCTCAGGGAGAGCAGGCAGGAAGGAAGATTTTGAATTTTTAGTGCTAGAACTATCAATCACTATGGCCATAGTTGTTACTGGTACTAATTATATCATCCAAGAATGCATTTTATTTTGTTACCAGTAGCCCCTTTTAAACCTACTGAACAAAACCCCTTTGAACATGTATTTAAAACCGTGATCTGCCATTTAAGATAAGGACATCATGAGAAAGATATTTTTACTATTGTTTTAATAGCTTTATTGAGGTATAATTTGCAGTGTATAAAATTTATGCATTGTAAGGGGATAATTTTATGATTTTTAGTACCTTATGATTTTTATAGAGTTGTGTAACTATTACCACAATTTGATTTTAGAACATTTCCATCATCTCAAAAAGTTCCCTTGTTAATTCTCACTTCCAGTCCCAGTCGCAGGTAACTGCCGATCTGCTGACACCATAAATTTGCCATTTCTGAACATTTCAAAACAGAATCTTATGCGTCTTGCATTTTTCACTTAGCACCGTAATATGGATGAACCTCAAAAATATTATAGCATGTATCAGTAGTTCATTTTTAGTACTGAATAGTATTCCATTGAAAGGTATACCACATTTTGTTTACCTATTCTCCAGTTCAAGGACATTTGGATGGATTTCGGTTTGGACTTATTATGAATAATGCTGCTATGATCATTCATGTACTTATCTTTGAGTGGACATATGAATACATTTTTCTTGGAGTGAAATCATTAGGAAATATGTTATTGTTCAACTTTTAAAAGATAAACTGTCAAACTGTGTTCCAAATAGTAGTGTCATTTTATATCCTTATCAGCCATGTAGGAGGGTTACAGTTTTCCCAGATGCTAGCCAACACTTAGAATTATCTGTAATTTTTATTATAGCCTTTTAGTGGGTATATCTCCTTATGGTTTTAATTTGTATTGCCCTTATGACTAATTATATTGATCATTTTCTCATGTGCTTACTTGCCATTCATAAATCTTCTTTGGTGAAGTGTCAGTTCAAATCATTTGCCCATTTTTAAAACTGGGTTCTCATAAGAGTTTTAAGAGTTCTTTATATATTCTAACACAAGTCTTTTGTCAGATATATGTTTTGCAAATATTTTCCTCCAAACCATGCCTGTCTTTTCACTCATTCTCTTAATCTATCTTTTGAAGAATAAAAACTTTAAATTTGAAGTCCAATTTATCAAATTTTTAATGGATTATGCTTTTGGTGCTATTATGAATGGCAGTACCTGTGCACCAAATCCTTGCCAGCATTTAGTGTTGTCAGTGTTTTTGATTTTGGCCAATCTAATAAGTGTGTAATTGTATTTCATTGTTGTTTCAGTTTTAATTTCCAGAAGACATATGCTGTGGAGCATCTTCTCATATCTAAGAACTCTTGTCTAACAGAAGGCCACAATGATTTGCTTTTATGTTATTCTTCTGAAATATTTATATATGTAGCCTACATTTAAGTGTATAGTTCATTGTGAGTTAGTTTTTTATGTGGAATAAAGTAAGGGCCGAAGTTCATTTATTTGCACATGATAACAAATTTTTCCAGCACCGCTTGTTGAAAAGACTAATCTTTACTCAGGAATTATCTTGGCAACTTTCTCTGATGCCTCTGCTCAGTTTGTTTGTTGTTTGTTTGTTTTTAATATACTCTTTTCTTTTTTAGAACGGTTTTAGTTTCACAGCAAAATTGAGAGGAAGGTACAGAAATTTCTCAATATACTTCCTTCCCCTACACATGCATAGCCTCTCCTGTTATTAACAATCTTTCACCAGAGTGCTACATTTGTTACAATTGATGAACTTACGTTGACACATCATTAACACCCAGATTCCATCATTTACCTTAGAGTTCACTCTGGGTGTTGTACATTCTATGGGTGTGGACAAATTTATAATGGCCTGTGTCCACCATTTTAATATATACAGATTAGTTTCATTGTTCCAAAAATCATCTGTACCTCACCTATTCATCCTTCCCTTCCCATAACCCCTGTCAACCACTGATCTTTTTAATGTCCCCATAGTTTTGTCTTTTCTAGAATGCCATATAGTTGAAATTTGTATAGCCTTTTCAGATTGGCTTCTTTCGCTTCGTGACATGCACTTAAGTTTACTCCATATCTTTTCATGACATGATAGCTCATTTTTTAGCACTGAATAAGAGTCCATTGTCTGGATATAATACAGTTTACTTATCTACCTATTGAAGGATATCTTAGTTGCTTTTAGGTTTTGGCAGTTATGATAAAGCTGCTGTAAACATCAGCATTCAGGTTTTCATGTGGGCATACATTTTCAGCTCCTTTGGGTAAATTCCAAGGAGTCCAGTTGCTGGATTGTATGGTAAGAGTAGGCTTAGTTTTGTAAGAAATCACCAAACTGTCTTCCAAAGTGGCTGTACCATTTTACATTCCCAGTTAGCAATGAATGCGAGTACCTGTGCTCCACATCCTTGCCAGCATGTAGTGTTGTCAGTGTTCTTGATTTTGGCCATTCTAATAGGTGTGTACTGTATCTCATTGTTGTTTCGATTTGCATTTCCCAAGTGACATATGATGTAAAGCATCTTCTCATATGCTTATTTTCCATTTGTATATCTTCTTTTGTAAAGTATCTGTTAAGGTCTTTGGCTCATTTTTATTTGGGTTGTTTGTTTTCTTATTGTTGAGTTTTATATAGTTTTGTTTTTTCTTTCCTATTTTAAGCCTTAATTCCCAGGGAATCAACCCTGTGTTTATGCAGGTTAAAGGTAAGCTACTATTGGGCTGAGGTTATGTTCAGCCACCCTAAGCCAGTAAGGCTTCTATCTTCTGCTGGTGGATCTGTGTGTGAGTAGGGAAGTATGTTCAAACTTTGGACAGTTTTCAAGTCTGCTTTACTTTCCCTTTCATATTGTGTTGCCTATGTGCATATGTATAGCCTCAAGATTGGTCAGAAGAATATTATGTGAGTATTATTATTATTAAATACCTACCATGTAACTAGCATTATCTAGACTCTGAGGATTCAGCAGTGAAAACAGATTCATGTCTTCATGAGACTTACATTATGGTAGGAAGAGACAGACAATATTGGAGTAATTAAATCAGGAAAGAGGATCAGTTTGGGGAGTAAGATTTCATTTAGAAGGTAGCACTTAAATTCTGAGATATGTAAGTATTGTCTTCTCCCATTTGCATTTTTAAGATGGAGATTTAATGAGATTAAGTAATTTGTCTACATAATGCAACTGGAGTTTGAAGCCAAGTCTATGTGAACTTTATAATTATTTAGTGAATCCTTGCAAAGCTGTTCTTTAACACTACAAATATCTAGTGAGCATCTTCTGCCTGCCAGGCTCTATGTTGGATGCTGGGGAGAGAAGATTAACACAAAACACATTCTGTCCCTGAAAAGTACACAATATAATGGGTGACATAGATGTAAAAATGAATAAAAAGGTAAGATCTGGTATAATACAAGTAGTGGGCAGAGAAGGGGCACAAGGGAGTGAACGAAGTCTTAAGGAAGGAGGCATCTTTACTTGAGTATCAAACATGTGTAAAGAGGCTGAGATGCTATGGTGTGTCCTGACAGTGTTGCATGGCTCCTTGTGATAAAAGCACAGGGTCAGCCTAAGAAAAATAGGAAGGGTGGTGACAGAGGATGCAGGAGAAATAAGTAGAAGCCAAGTGAGGAGGGCCTTGAATGCCGAATTAAAGAATTTGGACTGTATCCTGAGGGAAGCTAGGAACCAAGCAAGAGGCAGTATGATCATTGTGACCCTTAACCCTTACATCTCTAAGCCTCCCCTGCTGGTGGCAGCTTACCTTCCTGATAAGAAGACGCTGTCTAGCTGGCTTTCCTTCCCACAGGCAAAGATCTTTGTTAGCCAAGAGTACCAGGAGGAAAACCACGAAGACTACATATATAATAATAGGAATGACATAAGAAAACCTTAAGAAATTGGCCTCTCTGATCTTAACACTTCAAAAGAATCTCTAGAGCTGCCAAAGATTATAGGGATTTCATTCAAACTTAGCAAATATATTAATCATCTCCTGTGGACAAAGACCTAAACTGTAAAAACCAGCATCTTCTTTTTTCTTTTTTTATTATTATACTTTAAGTTTTAGGGTACATGTGCATCTTCTTTTAACGTTCGAGAAACTTCACTTTTCAGTCTCGGCTCACACACCTCTTCAGCAGCCGTGCTCCATCCCAGTGACAAGAAAGACCCACTATCCTCAAAAGAGCTCCCTCCCTGTGACTTCCTCTCTTTGATTCTAGCCCCACCCTCTGGGCCTACCTTGCAAGTTCTTGCTCTTTTAGCTCATAGTCAGGCCTATAAAGATACCAAGACAAGGCTGAAAAACTGAGAGCATTGCTTGAGGCCAAGAGTTCAAGACCAGCCTGGGCAATATAGGGAGACCTCATTACTACAAAAAAAAAAAAAAAAAATTAGCTGAGCATGGTGGTGTGTGCCTGTAGACCCAGCTTCTCTGAGGCAGAGAGATTGCTTGAGCCCAGGAGTTCAAGGTTTTGTTGGGCTACAATTGTGCCACTGCTTTCCAGCCTGGCAATAGAGGGAGACTCTGTCTTAAAATAAATAAATAAATAAGACAATCATATCAAGACACTGACTACATGCCCTTGATGAGTCTTCTCTTCTCCAAACTAATCTCTCTTTTCTCCTACCCCCAGAGAATTCAACATTTCTTTATACTCCATGGTGTCAAACTTTTTACCTTCTTTGTTGTTCTTCTTTGGACATGATCTAGGTTGTTATTTTCTTCTTAAAATGCTAGCACTGAATATAAAACTACACAGGGAATCTAAGCATGTACAGCAGAATAGGACTATTGCCTTATCTTGCTCTGGATGTTAGATCTCTAGAAATGAAGTCAGAATTTACATTAGCTTCTTTGGGCAGGCAGGCCTCTCTATAGTAGATTTTTTTGTTGCTGTTCTTTAAATAAATATATTTTTATTTATCTGATATTCTCTTTTTAATAAACCTCTTATTTAAAAAATTGATTTAAATTTATTTCTGTTTTTTTTTCAATGTTTTTTTAGATTCAGGAGGTACATATGCAGGTTTGTTCCCTGGGTATATTGCATGATGCTGAGGTTTGGAGTACAATTGATGGCATCATCCAGGTACTGAGCATAGTATCCAATAGTTAGTTTTTCAAACCTTGCCCCACTCCCTCCTCCCATCTACTAGTCCCCAGTTTCTATTGTTGCCATCTTTATATCCATGAGACCCCAGTGTTTAGCGGTCATTTGTAAGTGACAACATGCATAAACCTCTTATTTTGAAATAAGTTTAGGTTTATAGAAAGTTGGAGAGATAATATAGAAATTGTTCATATGCCCTTTGTAACAGTAGGTAGCTAGTCAGGCATGAGCAGGGCAGGAGAGAGCTCCCCACCTACACACACACACACACACACCCCAGGAGTGTCAGGTGACAATCAGGTGATAGTCAGGCTGTTGTTAATTGTCTCTCTAAAGTAATAATTGGTCACAGCTGGTGCCAGGGAAAGGCAGTCTCCTAATAGAAAACACCTGAAACTGGTAATCAACAGCTTTCCAGTAAGATCTCAGGAGGTGGGTGAGTGGGCTCAAGCATGCACATGCAGACAGCCCACCAGGGAAGAATCAGGAGAAAAGTAATGCAAGACCCCAGAAGTATGTCAACATATAAAACCCTGAGTCAGAAAGCCAAATCATGCACTTGTCTTTCAAGTCACCCTCTTGGCTCCTCCAAGTGTACTTTCTTTTCTTCCTTTCATTCCTGCTCTAAAACTTTTTAATAAACTTTCATTCTCTAAATCTGGCCTTGGTCTCTCCTTCTGCCTTATGCCCCTCAATCAAATTCTTTCTTCTGAGGAGGCAAGAATTGAGGTTGCAGTAGACCTGCGTGACTTGGATACCTTCCACTGGTAACACCTTCACCCAGTTTCCTCTAATGTTAATATCTTACACAATCATGGAGGATGTGTCCAAAGTAAGAAATTAACATTGGTTCATTACTAGTAACTAAAACACAGAACTGTATTCAGATTTCACCAGTTTTTCCACTAATATTTTTCTATTCCAGGATTCTTCAGAATACCATATTAGCTTATGGTAGATTTTAAAATAAAGCCTCTACACTTACCCTGATACAATACAACTTGTTGATTTTAGTCCTTTATTCCAGTCTGTTGTAATAATTTTGATTCTTGGATACTCTTATCTACAGGCTTAGTAATTTCACTCAGAAATTTTAGCGTACATACTTGTATTAGCCCATTTTCACGCTGATAATAAAGACATACCCAAGACTGGGTAATTTATAAGGGAAAGAGGTTTAATTGACTCACACTTCAGCATGACTGGTAGGCCTCAGGAAACTTACAGTCATGGTAGAAGGGGAAGCACATCCTTCTTCACATGGTGTCAGCAAGGAGAAGTGCTCAGCAAAAGGAGGGAAAGCCCCTTATAAAACCATCACACCTCGTAAGAACTCACTCTCTATCAGGAGAACAGCATAAGGGTAGCCACCCCCATGATTAAACTACCTCCTACTGGGTCCCTCCCACAACACATGGGGATTATGGGAACTACAATTCCAGGTGAGAGTTGGGTAGGGACACAGAGCCAAACCATATCAATACTTTTAAAGTATTAATTTAAGTCAGGAATGCAAGTGTTTAACAGGACAAGACCTGAGGCTAAGAACAGAGACCTAGGCATATTACTGGAGACTTCACCCTAGATTGGCATTTTTACATCAGTTTTATATCAATCTCTGGGTTTGGTTATGCTGCTAACCCCAGTAATATAAGTCATGTATGTGAAACAAGATTTTACTTTCCTCCAAATTAATCCAATCAAATTCATTTTAGTTCAAATTTTTAGTATCTCTTATGTGTTGTGTACTATGAGAGATTTAGAAATAAACAAGATATAATCCCTGTCCCCATTTCTCCATCTTGTCCATAAGGATCACGTACAACATTTTGTCTGATGGTTAGTTTAATGGTATGATGAATGAGAAAGAACCAGATGGCAAAGGGCAAAATTTAGATAAAGGAGTGCTTGCTGGGGAAGGATCATGTTAGGTAGGACTCTACAATAAGGCCCCTGGGTGATAGGAATCAACACTGGAACTCCAACCCCTTGTCATGGGATTGGCCCAGTTCTGCAATCTTTTGGCTCCCAGATCAGGGGTAGGGTGGGACTAGGATGCCTTTTACCTGAAGTCACAGTGAGAATGGTTAGGTAGCATAGGGAAGATTCTGAAAGCCCTGTCTTGAAAGATCTTCAGAATCCAAACCAAACTAAAAATCTGAGAAGTAAAAAAAAAAAAAAAGAAAAGGAAAAAGGAAGCTGAATCATGAAACCAGAGGAAAGAGAATGGAGAACATGATATAATCACAGAAAGCCAGAGAGCCAGGATAAGGAGGAAGAGGAGCAGATTGAGCAAATGTAAAGATATCTGGAAGAGTTGAAGATACAGAGTTTGGCAGATTCTACTACAGTCCTTGTGTGACTCTTGTGGAAAAGCAAGGATGTCGGAAAGGAGGTGAGAGAGGACTGATGACCTTGTGGGCAGGAAAGTCAAGGAGCAGAAGGCAATTCCACAGAAAACAGGGTGGAGAGGGCCAGCACAGTTCTGACCAGCACGGTAACTTCAAAATAAGCTAGTCTCCTTCTGTTCTTTCTGTTCCTTCCCGCTTTCTTCTTTTTCCGCCTTGATATAGTTGCAACTGGATACATGACCAAGCAAACATATGAAAAGTAATTACATCTTTTTGGATGAATTTTAAATTGAATAATTTTTGGAAGTTAGTAATATCAATTATCAGCCCCTAATCCACCTCTCAGTAGAGTTCCGTGGGCTCCCATCTGCACCAAACCATGTCCTGATCAGACACTCTAAATTAAACAAGTGTAGTGGTTTTGGCTCCCTTCCAGCAGGCCACTTCACAAGTCACCATTCTCTTGGCATAATTTTTGTTACTGCCTTCAAAAGGAGTCCAACTTAATTGGAGGCAGATATGTCATCTCAGTATCTAGCTGAGGGTCTTCCAGTTCACCCTGCTGATTCAAAAGACCCATCCATTCCAAACCTTAACCCTGGATGAATAAGGGCCTGGGAACAAAGGTGCTGGGAATTGTGACCCTGGGTCCTCCCTCTGCTAGATAAAGGAGGCATATGTCTGATTTACCTGAAGCTATAGAAGCCAACCGAGACTACCACACACCTGCTGCATTCCTGGGTTCCCTAGTTCAGAGAATGCATCGCCATCACTCCAGCTGCCCATGAGAAAGTTGTCCTATTTAACTTCTTCTTTTAAGTTATTCTCATATACTACCACCAAGTATGATCAAGGCTACAACTCAGTATCCATAGAATCTGTCCCTTCCTCATCTCTGCTGCCATAGCCATACTTCAAACTATCAGCATGTCCCAGGAAATCACAACAGCTTCTTTAGCCAAGGGTTACAACATATGAGGTGAACAGGTTTCCAGGCTCACTATCCTGCTCACACAGATATCTCAGCATTGCAATGGCTACCAGAATGTCCCAGTTCTCCTAACCATGTGCCACCTCTTCACTGATCCTGTGATGCCTGACCAAATACAGTGTAACCTCTTCACTGAACACCACCTCAGCTAGGTTGGAAGATTGCTGCTTTGAGATCATTATTTCCCCTCCCTTATAAAAAGAGATTATATGAAAAGACATGTTTTGAATTTTATGGCATCAGCCTATACAACCCCCTGCCACTCCTTGTCATTCTCTTCTACTGACATCTTGGACATTTCTATGAATCATGGAGGAGTTTGATCCATACTTGTCTTTTCTACTACACCACTGCTACCATATTCAATGATTTCGCTATCCATGAAAATAACCCATTGAACATCCACTCTGTAGTATATGATGAAATATCAAATTCTTAACATGGTCTGCAAGGTCCTGGATCATCTGGTCTCTGCCTGATTCTTCAACCTATCTCTATCCCACTTCCCTTGCTGCCTATGGTCTACCCACACTGGCCTTCTTACAGTTCTTTCTGTGACCATGGATTTTCTCCCTAACTTGTATACACATTGGCCCATCTACCTGGAATGTTCTTTCTCTATTGCCATTTGCCTAATTACTTCCTATTCTGCTTGCAGAAGCCAATGTAAACATTTTTTTCTTCATGGAATTCTTTCTTGTACCCTTTCTCAGACTAGTTGAAGAGCCTTTGTTGTGTACTTCTGTAATATATTCTATTTCTCTTTTAACAGACTTATCACTCTTCTGACTACTCATTCAACATTTTTCTTTAGAAGATTTTTAAACTCCATGAGGACAAGGACCATATCTGTCTTATATACTGCTCTATGCGTAAGGATTGTATGATGTCAGATGGGTCTTTATAGAAGGAACTGATGCTCTGTCTCTAGTCTCTCCTATGAAATCTAACCTCTACACCACTGCCAGAGAACTTCCTTTTCCCCCTTATGACTAATGATGTTGAGTATCTTTTTGTGTGCTTATTGGCCATCTATATATCTTTTTTTGAAGAAAGGCTATTCAGATCCTTTGCCCATTCTTAAACTGAGATTATTTTTTGTGTTTTTATTATTGAATTGTAGGAGTTATTCGTATATTCTGGATCCCAGTCCCTTTTCAGATATATGGTTTACAAATATGTTCTCCCATCTTGTAGGTTGTCTTTTCACGTTCTCTTTTTATTTTTAATTGACAAATAGTAATTGTATATATTTATGAGATACAATGATCAAATCAGGCTATTTTGCATATCCATCACCTCACATAGTTATCATTTCTTTGTGGTGAGAACATTTAAAATCTACCCTTCTTGGTGGTGAGAACATTTAAAACATGGCAAAATCCCATCTCTACAAAAAATACAAAATTTAGCCAGGCACGGTGTTGTGTACCTGTAGTCCCAGCTACTTGGAGGGCTGAGGCAGGAGAATTGCTTGAGCCTGGGAGGTCAAGGCTGTAGTGAGGTGTCATTGCTGCACTGCACTCCAGCCTGGGTGACAAAGTGAAACTGTTTCAAAAGACAAAGAAACAGAAAATCTACTCTTTTAGCAATTTGAAATATGTAATACATTTTTATTAACTATTATCACCATGCTATGCAACAGACCACCAAGATTTATTTCTGCTATCTAACTGAAACTTTGTACCCTTTGACCAACATCTTCCCTTTCTCCATTCACACTCCGTCACTCAGCCTCTTTTCACTTTCTTGATGGTATCATTTATAGCATAAAATTTTTAAATTTTGATGAAGTCCGATTGATCCATTTTTTTTCTTTTTTTCCTTTTTTTTTTTTTTTTTGCCTCTACTTAATCAGGGCTGCTAAAACAAAAATACCATAGACTAGGTGGCTTAAACCAACGGTCCCCAACCTTTTTGGCACCAGGGACTAGTTTTGTGGAAGAGACATTTTCCACTGACCAGCATGGTGGGGGTGGTTTCGGGATGAAACTTCTACCTCATATTATCAGGCATTAGTTAGATCCTCATAAGGAGCACACAACCTAGATCCCTTCCTTTCACAGTTCACAATAGGGTTCGCACTCCTTTGAGAATCTAATGCCACCACTGATCTGACAGGAGACAGAGGTCAGCTGGTAATGCTCTCTGGCCTGCCACTCACCTCCTGCTCTGTGACCTGGTTCCTAACATACCAGGGACCAGTATCCTGGTTGGGGACCCCTGGCTTAAACAACAGAAATGTATTTCTCACACTTTTGGAGGCTAAAAGTCCAAAATCAAGTTGCTGGCAGATCCAGTGTCTGTTGAGGGCCCACTTCCTGGTTTTCAGTCGGCTGTCTTGTTATATCCACATGGCAGAGAGCAGAGACAGAGAAATCGTGGTCTCTAGTGTGTTTTCATAAGAGCATTAAACCCATTCGTGAAGGTTCCACCCACAGTGACCTAATTACCTCTCAAAGGCCCCACCTCCTAATAGCATCACATTGGGGATTAGGATTTCAGCATACAAATTTTGAGAGGACACAAATATTCAGTCCATAGCATGTATCTAAAAAGCAATTGCCTGGCCAAAGGTCACAAAGATTTACTCCTATGTTTTCTTCTAAGAGCTTTATAATTTTCGCTCTTCCATTGATGTTTATGATTCATTTTAAGTTAGTTTTAGCAGATGGTGTAAGAAAATGTTCCAATTTATGCCTGTCCCATAACTATTTATTGAAAAAATTGTTCTTTCCCCCACTTTATTGTCTTGGTACCCTTGTCAAAAATCAGTTGACTATACATGTAAGAGTTTATTTCTGGACTTTCAGTTACATTCTATTGATCTATATGTCTATCCTTGTGCCAGTACAATACTGTCTTCATTACTGTACCTTTGTAGTAAGTTTTGAAATCATTAAATGTCAGCTCTCCAACTTTTTCTTCTTCAAGATTGTTTTGGCTATACATGGTGCCATGCATTTTTATGTGAATTTTAGGATCACCTTATCAATTTCTACAAAAAAGCCAGATGAGATTTTGATAGTTATTGCACTGAACCTGTAAATTAGTGTGGAGAATATTGCCATATCAACAATATTTAATTTTCTGATGCATGAATGTGGGATGTTTTTATTTAGATCTTCTTTAATGTCTTTCAAAAATATTTTATAGATTTCAGTATAAGCAAGGTTTGTACTTATTTTGTTAAATTCATTTCTACATATTTTATCCTTTTGAGGCTATTGTAAATAAGCTTGTTTTCTTAATTTTGTTTTGGACTTAAATACAAATTTAGCTTTGCATTTTCATTCTGCAACCTTTCTGAACCCATTTATTATTTCTAATTGTTTTTTATTAGATTCCTTAAGATTAAAACACAAGATCATATCATCTGCAAGTAGATATATTTTTACTTCTTCCTTTTATTTCATTCTTCTGTTTCTTTTCTCACCTAATTACCTGGGCCATTATGGATAGTTTAGTTGAATGTTAAATAGAAGTGGCAAGAGCAGACTTCTTTGCCTTGTTCCTTATCTTAGAGGTAAAGCATCCAGTCTTTCACCATTAAATATGACATTAGCTTTGGAGCTTTTTATAGATGCCCTTTATCATGTTGAGTAAGTTTTCTTCTTCTTCTAGTTTGTTGAGTATTTTTATCATGAAAGGGTGTTGGATTGTATCAAATGATTTTTCTGTGTCTATTGAAATGATCATGTGGTTATTGTCCTTTATTTTATTAAAATTGTATATTATGTTGATTGATTTTCAGATATTAAACCAACCTTGCATTCATGGGATAAATCCCATTTGGTCACAGTACATAATCCTTTTTATATGTTGCTGGATTCAGTCAGGTAGGATTTTGTTGAGGATTTTTGTGTTTATATTCACAAGAGATATTGATATTCAGGGGTTTTCTTTGGCAATGTCTTTGTCTAGTTTGGGTATCAAAGTAGTCCTGGCCTGATGGAATCATATTGACAGATTTGTTCTTTCAGCACTTTGAATACGTCATCTCACTTTCTTCAGCCCTCTATTGTTTCTGCTGACAAGTCAGCTATTAATCTTATTGGAATTCCCTAGTAGGTGATGAATCACTTTTCTCTTGCTGGTTTCAATATATTCTCTTTGTGCTAAGCTTTCATCATTTTGACTATGATGTGCCTGATTGTGGATCTCCATGAGTTTATCCTACTTCAAGTTTGGTGAACTTATTGGATGTATAATTATTTTTCATTAACTGCCTTGGGCATACTTGAGCATCTGGGCTGGTCTTCCTCTATTGGTATCACATCAAGCTATTACCCTGTATTAATCGCTAGCTGATTGTTCTGTTTTCTCTAGGGGCAATAATTGTTTCACAGTCTGATCCAGTTAATATAGACCCCTTTTGCAGGGGCAAGGTATTGCTAGTCTTTCAGGCTGCTCTGCCCCCTGAAGTGTCCTTCTTAGCTATCTTTCCTCCCTAATTCTTTATTCTAACCTTCTAGCTAGTCTGTTGTTTTACTTGTTGCTATAAATCTCATGTAGTGACCAGCTTCCTTTTATTTGCTTGCCACACTAGGATCTCTGTTGTTTTTGACATTACCCTTTGGCATAAATTTCACTACAAGCTGTTCCAAATGAACTCAATCCCCTTATGCAGTGTTGTGGAGTTATTTGTTCTTATTGCTTGCCATTCTCCCTGAACAGAACCTCTATGCCACTGCCCTAGAACTGGGGGCAGGGACAGTGCCCACTTCTCCTAGAGTGTCACCCCTGCTCTATGAGCTAGGCTCTGGGTAGGGACAGTAGCCCCTGGTCTTCTTGTCTTGCCCATCTTGGCCTGAAACCTCTGTCCTGCAAATTAGCTGGGCCGAGGGCATTTGGCTTCTAATACTCTTGGTCTACCATGCCTGGTTTAGAGTTTTCATTCTATGAGTAAGGTCTGGTGGGGGAAGGAAGACTTATTTCTTAGCAGCATCCACCTTGAATAGAGCTTCTTCAATATAGAATGGGGATGGGGGCTATGTGAGAGGTGCTTGTGGCCTGCCCCTCCCAAGGTGAAATCATAGCTATAGACTAGGAAGTAGGTAGAGAGGGAACTAATATTCTTGATGGCATACTCTTGGAGTACAGCTTCCATCCCACTGAGTTAGAGGGTGGGAATTTGAGCAGGTCATGGTTCAAATGGCTTTAAATGACTTCAAATGATTGTTTTTAAAAATAATTTTTAGGCTGGGCACGGTGGCTCATGCCTATAATCCCAGTACTTTGAGGGGCTGAGGCAGGTGGATCACCTGAGGTCAGGAGTTTGAGACTAGCCTGGCCAACATAGTGAAACTCCGTCTCTACTAATAATACAAAAAAATTAGCTGTGTGTCATGGCACACACCTGTAATCTCAGCTACTCGGGAAGCTTAGGCAGGAGAATCGCTTGAACCTGGGAGGCGGAGGTTGTAGTGAGCCGAGATCACGCCATTGCACTCCAGCATGGGCAACAAGAGTGAAACTCCGTCTCAAAAAAGAAAAAAAAATTAGCAGTTAAACGGTTGTTTTGCTGGGAAGAAGGTATGCTGTGCTCCTTCTACCACCATTCTGAAAGTTAATCTCTGCTGTAAAAAGCCTCTTTATACACAGCCTATTTCATTGACTCTTTTGACTTAAGTCCTCTGTTGGGCCCTCATTACAAATACAAGAAAACACAATCAATTTTATTGGAATTAAATAATTTGCCTTCTCCCCTTTACTGTCCCCTCCCCCAAAACCAGTAAGTGAACCATCAGTTGATATAAAGGGGAAAAATTAAATGAACAAATTATTCATTAAACAAATATTTATGAATCACATGTAATGAGATAGGAAATACTGGGAACCAAGGACATAGATGTGCTTCAGAAGTGGTTCTTATTTTTATGAGCTCATAATCAAATAGGGAAGAGAAATGCAAGAACAAACAAAAATTCTGCACCATTTAAGTTCATAATAGAAATATTCAGGATATCTGGTGAGCTGCTGAAATAAAGTCATTATGTTTGACTGTGCATTGTGTGAGGACAGGGACCATGCCTAATTCAAGCACAGATGTGAATTCTAAAGTGGTTCTCAGTGACTGTATATTGACTAACTGCATCAGTAAATGACAGAATTAGATGAAATTTGGCCCAGTGCAAATGCCCTTTCTCTAAAAATTATCCTTGATTCCCCTCAGCTATAAGTGAACTCATCAGCAATTTCTCTTACTTTCTGTAGACTCCTGGTATTTCCTGCCCTATTTTATGACTCTGTTGTGTATATCAAATTTCTTTTTCTAAATTGGTTGCTCCTTGAGCTTAGTAACTGTGCCTGATTTGCTTTCAGAGTTCTTTTTTGGCCCGACAGTGGGAAAGCTCAATAAATTTAATGTAATGTATATTATTTTAAATGCCTTGAAAGAACAAACAAGAGCTGAGACAACTTTCTCCCTTTCTTCTTCTAGGGCAGTGGACTCTGTACATACAGGAAAATGGTAGGATATTAGACTATGTAAACTAGAGCTCAATTTTTATGCAATCTATTTCTTTTGAACCTGAGTTTTTCCAAGAATCTCATATAGATATAAATATACAAAACCATCCCAAGCCAGATCTTATGGGGGCAATGACAATGTCCTAAAACTGATTTGTGGTAGTAGAGGCACACTTGGTAAATTTACTAAAAATCATTAAATTGCACACTTGAAATAGATGACATATTACATGTAAAAAATGCTTCAATAAAGTTGAAAAAACTCCCATTCTCTGAGCAAATGCCAAATATGAACCTCTTTTAGCAAGATTTTATTAATCAGTCTAGAGATTACAGAAAGCAAAGATGGTTATGAAAATAATAAATCCGGAAACTCCACAGCCCACTTATTATTTTTTCATTAAATATATTTATACTATGAATGCAATTTTCTCAGGTTTGTGAGATATTTTTGTATTTAGGGCATGTCTATGACTGAGGCAGGTGCAGAAGTCAGGCTGTTGGAGCTGTAATTCCTTCTTATTACCTTTGGGTATGGTCACACTTTGTCACCTCCTCTGAAGCCACATTTTCACTTGGTTGAATCAGAAGATATATAACATTAGGTCACAAGGCAATTTCTTTTATCTGTGTAATAGAATGTCATAGCCAAGAAGAATCCCAAGTTCTTCTGGTTCTAGAGTTTTAAAACTGTGCTCCCCATATCCCTGAGGAGGAGTGAGGGCTCTGACTTCTCTTGTCCTTTCTGCCAAATACACTGGAACATCCTGTTTATTGGCCTTCTCCATAAACTTAGTTTGAAGAAAAGACTTAACTGCTACTGTTTAAAGGCCTCTCTCTCTTTCTGTGCTGGAGACAGAGGGTCCAGAGAAGGGAGATAACTTTCCTGAGTCACCCAGCGAATTAGTGGGACAAGTTTAGTTGGAAACGCAGCTGCTGACTTCTAGATTAGCCTCTGTCCACTGCAACTCACTCCTCTTCCAGACCTGTTTGCAAGGTTTTCTTGTTTGTTTATCCACTCTCTGCAAACATTAACTGAGTACGTTCAAGGCAGTAAGAAAGAAATTAGGTGCATAAGTTAGTATAGTGTGGGCTACATAGGTTAGAACCTTAACTCTGCCACTTATTCACTGTGTAACTTTGGGCCAGTTACTCAAACTCTTCGTGCCTCTTTTCCTCATACATTAGCACCCTACCCTCTACCCCGATAGATATCCAGAGAAACCCCCTATTAGTTAAAATGTAAGTAGAACGATCATCAAGGCTGGAGCCATATGGGGATTTGAATTTTGGCTATCTCAAATAACCTCTCTAGAGTCACCAGCAAACTAGACATTGTGACTTAGCTTAAGGGTTTCTGTGATGACAAGAGGCTTCTAGTAGATATTGGATAACAGAAGTGAAATTGAATTGTTTGTAAGTTCTTGGATATAACGCATTTGTAATACCATATCTCCCTTAGACTCCAAGCTCCCCGAAGGCATACAATTTGTCATATAAAAATTAAACCAGCTAACATTTATAGAGTGCTTACTACATGTCAAACATGATAATAGGTTATTTATTTTCTCAGTCAAACCTTCAGCAACTTTATGAAGCTGGTACTATTATTTTCCCCACTTTGAAGATGGGGAAACTGAGGCACAGAAAGGTTAAGTAACTTGTCCAAGATTACCCTACTAATAAGTAAAATACTTGTATAGAAGAAATTAAGGAGTAGATGACTGATGAGGAATGAGAAAGGAACATGAAAACCTGGCTGGGGAATCAGAAAGAATTGCTATGGGGAAGTAACGTTTGAACTCTATCTTACAGGGTATATAATGGGTGAGAGCATGGCATATTGGAGATGTGGTAAAGAGTAAAGATTGGAAAGACATCTAGAAAGTTAAATGATTCTCCCTGTCATGTTCAGGATTGGCTGAAGTCTGTGGAGAAGGATGTTTGAGAGTGCGAGGAGGAAAGATAAACCATATTAATCCATTAAATATATATCTTGAGCCAACCATATGAAAAATGGGCTGGGAACTAAGGAAGATACACTATCTATGATTATCTGTAATTTCTTTTTGTTAGTAAACTCAACTTATCAAAATTAATTATCTAAGCATTAACTTTTCTTCATCTTCTTGATTGACCCTATATCTTGGTCAGCTGCAGATACCTTGCCAATTGCTCTCAGTTACTAGCATTTACCTCTCAAAGTGAAAGGTACAACAGCCTCCTGCTTAAGCAAGTGGGAGACTGAACTTAGTTTCTCAGGACACTTCTTTCAGATTAAAGCTATTAAGAAAACCTGATGCCATTGAAAAATCATTGAGGTAATGTCCTCACATGTTTTAATTAGAGGGCAGAGGTAGGCAAAGGAAGAAGGCATACATAAGAAGGGTACAGTTTTAGATGTTAGACAGTTTGGGATTCTGCCATTTATAATATTGGTGGCTATGAATAAATTATATGTGAAAAGTTAATGGCGATGGATAAGTTACCTGTAGCTGACCTTTTGGATTCCAGGGCTTCTCACCTTCTAAACAAGGATAATAAATACAACTTTGCAATGTTGTCATGAGGTTGCAATTAGAGTTAATATAGTAGAGTGCTGTCATATTAAGAGTGCTCAACAAATAATGATTATTGTGGCTTTTATTGGTAAAGTCCATATTTGAAATCTTAAAATCATAGTATTTTGGAGATAGGAGATCTGAATAAATCATTTGGCCCAACTTACTCTTGGGCCTATTCCAATTTTAGAAATTGAAATTGAGGGCAAGGGACTCACTCAATTCACACAGCTGGATAATACCAAAGCCTGAATGAGCTGCTGGATCTCCAGTACCCCCTGATTCTAGGACCTTAAAGATACCCATACTAACTGAGCCTGCCTCATTAGTTGCTGGCCCAGACCTGAACCTTGACACAGTCTTGGCTTTTTTCATCTAAACCTTGTCCTGATTTCATGGGGCCTCCAGGCCTCAAGGTAGAACATACTCTCAGCATACCTTCCTGCTCCCAAGATGGCCTGAGCCCTTCTCCATTCCTAAGTTAAAAGTAAGGATGACCAGGTAAGTAGGCAGAGCTTTTCTCTTGTTGACTCAGGTCCATGGTCAACATAGATTCTCCATTTCAATGTTGTAACCCTTTTACTATGCTTTCAATATGGCTTAATGAAAAGACCAAGGGCTTTTATTTAAGAAGGACTTGATTTTTAGTGCTGCTTGCACTGTTTTCAACATTTATCTCTGGACAAGTTCATTAAACTCTTTGATCCCCAGTTGCCTCATTTGTAATTTGGAATTGTTCATAATTGTTAGGAATTGTTAGGAAAATTAAATGAGTGACTAGCAAAGAGCCTAGCATAGTGCTGGTACACAGTAGGTATTCCACAACATATACATGAATAGTAATATACACCTTATTAATACCTATTTCTCAGAAAGACATTTGTATGTGTCTTAAATAAATCAATTCTTCCAGATGGACCCATCTATTTTGCCAAGAAGAGTAAGTTCACATGTCAATAGGAATTGAGGAGAAGGTTACAGGGGCTGAGAGAGGCATTCTACAGTTTATCAAGGAACGAGCTCCAACTCATTACTGCTAGATAAGCTATCATTATAGCAGTCCTGGATGTGGGTCTCCCCCATTAGCCAGAGAAGTCTTCAAGAGAAGTGTTTGGGATTTTATTCCTCTTTGTGGCTACAAAGAGGTAGGTATGACTGATGAATGCTCAGTAGGTTCTCAAAAAAATGTTTGTCAAATCTATTAATTTATATCTCTTTTAAAAGGAGAAACTGCTAGGAATATTCGGGTTCCTCATTTGCCTTCCCACCGAGATATTATTTCAGAAAATGGAACCTAAGAATTCTACCTTTTTTTCTTGATAGCATCTTGGATTGGAATAATTTATTGAATTCTGGATTCTTGTTTTCTAAATTATTTAACTTCATCCTGCACTATCATTTGATTTTTTCTGGCTTATTTACCATACCTTGGCATTAAAAGACAATTATTTTGCTAAGAAGATTAAATAGAGGTTTCCAGTATCTTTCCTACATTAAAGTGGATAATAAGATATTAATATGCACTGCAACCATTTGAATCAGCCTTCTCTTTTTCATTCAATAATATTCATATGTATTTAAAAGTTTCTTAACTTTTTCTAACTAGGTCAGCAGAATATTACTCAATCTTGATATTGTTGGTCCAGGCTGCCATTTCACAGGGATGGAGGAAAAACAGATGGCTGGGAGTCTATCTGTTTCTCCAATTCATGATACTTGCACTACAGGCAGTTGAAACAAAGTTTGGACCCAGAGAGACCCTGAAATATAAGTCTTCTAACACCCTATTTTCCCAGCTAAGAAAACCAAGGCCTAAGGACAGAAAATGTGTAAAGTTCCTAGGAGCGTGACCTTGGTTTTCTGATTGGGAGTCTTATGCTCTTTGAATGTCAACAAAAAGGAACAATTTTCTCCCACATACTATGTCTTGGTCAGTGTTGGCTGCTATGACAAAGTACCATAGACTAGGTGGTTTATTAAAAACCGGAATTTTTTACTCACAGTTCAAGAGGCTGGAAGTCTGAGGTAAGGGTGCCAAAATAGTTGGCTTCTTTTAAGAGCTGTCTTCCAGATTGCATATTGCTGACTTCTTGCTGTATCCTCACATGACAGAGAGAACTCTAGTCTTTTTGGTTCCTTTTAAAGGCACTAATCCCATTCATGAGGGCTCCACCCTTATGATTTCATTACCTCCCAAAGACTCTACCTCCAAATAACAATACATTGGGGATTTAGGCTCCAGGATAGGAATTTGGAGAGGGAAGGGGACACAAACGTTCAGACCATAGCACACCATGAGCTAGGCTCTACTTTTATCTTAATTCATGTGATCATTTCCTCTTTATAATTAAAAATAGGTTGCGATTATTATTCTCTGAAACATGGGAAGAAACCAGGGCTTGGGTTCACTAACTTGGTTGAACTCACATAGCTAGCAACTGTTAGAATCAGGATTTGTACCCAGATCCGTCTGACTTCAAAATGTTTGCTCTCTATGCTGCCCGAATCCTTTCACTGACTACCTCTGTGTTGCTGTAGGAACCTAATAGGATCATGGAAATATTCACTGGTAGGGAGGGCTTTATCCTTATGCCTCTAGGGCAGTGCAATATTGTGTCTGAAGCTCTAGTTTGTCTTCTCTCAGACTTGCATCAGAATCTAACCTGCCTCCATTTTCTTTGTGACTGTTCTCCTGCCCTTACTTCCCTGAGTTTCCTGCCATTAGTCTAGTTGAGGAGGCTGATTCAGTCTTTCCAGGTCCTTCCCCACATCTTTGCCCCATTAAACAAGGCTATGGGCCTTCCTGTATTTTAGGATTTTCTGTTACATCCTACAGGCACAGAGCTGGGAAACAAAATAGCAGATGAAGGTACAGGCAAAGGTGAGAAAACTGTCCAGGTTCTCTTGGAGTTAGATCTTGCTCTGGGCTCCTGTTTCTTTTCAGTTATCTCTAAGTGGGTAAAGGCTCATCTGGCTGCCCTTACCTCAGGCTCACCCTTGCTAAGAACTAGGAAGCCCTCCTCCTCCAGGACACCCCCTGCCATGCAGTCTGAGGGCCTGAAAGTGTTCAGGAAGACTGATAGGTGTGTTTCCATCTCTGAGATCTCCCTCAATACTGGAGCCTCCCATATCATAGAGTCTTTGCCCTGCCCACATCTGTTCTGCTCAAGAGTAGTCCTTTCTGCTTATTTCCTTTTAGAACTGGTGAGACCCATCTTGGACAGATGATCACCTGTCAAGGGTACCACAGGATGGCTTCTGCCCTGAGATGGAAAGTGTGGATGAGGTTCCATGAAGTTGTTTACAGGCCCAAGGGCTGATAATTCTTTAATAATGTGTCTACATTTTCTTTGAAGACTCAAAAGTGCTGTGCCCAAGTGAGAGGGCATTGTTATTAATGCTATTAGTTTTGTTGATGGTGACAACAGCCACATTAGTAAAACTAACCATGCTGCTCTCTCAACACAGAGGTTTTAGAGTCAGACAGATCGCATTTGAATCCGAGATACACCACTAATTCATTACCAAATTAAGAACATTATTCCATATCACTCAGCCTCTTTCTTCATCTGCACATTTGCAAAATAACCCTTACTTTTCAGGGTATTTGTCAGGGGTAATATAAACCAAAGCTAACATTTACTGAATGTGTATATGTGCCACATATGGCACTAGCTAAGTTCTTTGTGTGTATTATCCTGCCTTTTAAAGCGTGCGCCCTTACTCTGTCCATTTTAAAGATCAGGAAACTGAGGTGCAAAGAGACTAAATAACTTGCCTAAAATCACACAGCTAATTAGAGGCAGAGTTGAGACTTGCAATATGAACCTAATAAATTTGTCTCAAAAGTCTGTGATTTAAAAAATATTATGTCTAAAAAGCAGCTGCCATGTTGCCTGGAACACATTAGATTCTCAACTGGTAACTATAATTTAACAGCATGTTACATTTCTAAACAGCTACACAAATGCAAAGTGTTTGTTTTTGTTATCCTGAAGACTTTGTTTCTTTCTCGTCACTTAGTAAGGAATGCCTAAAAAGCTATGTTGCAGGAAAAGGGAGTGAGATTTGGTATTTACCTGGTTACCTTGATCAGGGTAGACAGCCACATTTGACAATCTTGGCTCCAGTTAATTTATTTCTGGAAACCTAAATTATTCATTTACATTTTCTACACTGATTACATTGACCTGAAGAAGAAATGCCAAAACAACATCTCATTTATGCTGGCTATGGGTCAGGCTGGTTTCAGAAGAGAAACTGCTTTCCTTGAGGTGGGGCCTCCTCCTACTGATGTCCATGTGGGGAGGATGAGAGGAGCAGGGAGGTGTTATTGTCCCCAAGGTACATGCTATCCTGAAACCCCTGGAAGTCTCTTCAGGACAGAATTTTCCTTCGTATGGCATATAACCCGTCTCTTATCCAAGAGCAGAGTTTTTCCACAGCATCCCAGTGAGTGGTTATTCAGGCTCTACAGACACTCTTTCAGGCACAGAGAACTCACTACCTTCAATAATAGCCTATTCCAACTTGTGATAGCTCATACTTCCTATTCTCCTTCTGTTAAGCCAGAGAAGGAGTCACTGTGTATCTTCTCGAATGTACATACCTAAGGAGCCCAGGGACACGGAGAAGCCAGAATCGTTTGTTTTTTTGGTTTCTGGTTGTGATGGGATGTCAATGTAGGAGTTTACACAAAGGAATAACAGGGTCAAATATTTTATATTAAGTAATTTGGGTTGTTATGTGGAGGATGGATTAAAGGTCAGAGAATATTGTTAGGGAGTTCTCTAACAATTATGACACTAGCAGAAAACATGGAAAAGAGTTGAAAAATTCAAGAAATATCTAGGAGTTAAAATTCACAGGATCTGTGATTAGTTGAATGTTGTAGGTGAGGAAAAGAGAGGAATCAAGCATTATTTCTAGGTTTCTGGCTTGTTTAAACTGGTGAAAGATAGAGCCACCAAAGGGGTAAAGAAGGGGATTATAAGGAATGTGTTAAATTCAGCTTGGATGCTCAGGACCCAGAAATGTCTGACAAATGTGTGTGTCTTTCTAAGGGGATTTTGTCATGTCAGGAAGAACTTCCAAACAATAGTTAGTATTGGAAGTTAAGTGGGTGGTGACATAGTGCTTCTCCTCCCTTCTGTTTATTACCACTACCTCAGGCATGGAAGCATCCTTCAGGCTCTAGGAGAAGAGGTGGCAAGGGTCTGAGTTGGGGCTTGCCAGGTTTAGGTTCAGACTGACCTTGAATTCCAAGAAAGGTATTCTTGGGAACTCTGACTCCATTGGTATGTAAGGGTTTGGGGCTCACCTCCACTGGTATGTAAGGATGTGGGGGCTCACCTCACGTGTGCCTTCTAACCCAGGACAACAAGACTCCACCTGTAGAGGAGACTAAAACTGCTTCTGTACTCTCTTCCCTGTTAGGACTGGCTCAGAAACTGAGCACAGCTAATCTTCCAGGTGGAAGTGGTAGTGCCTGCAGAATCAAAGGCGGGGTCAGGTAGGAGCTAATAACTTGTGCCTCTTCCTACTTCCTACCTGGTCCCTTATTCCTAGGTTTTAGGCTTACTTGACCTGGTTTTGGTGTAACTGCAGCTCCTCGGCTTGTCATGTAGGAAGAGACCAGGCCTATGACAATGGTGAAGGGGAATGAAACAATGAACAGAGATAAACAGGGAGATCTTCCTCTAGGTTGTCTTCTCTGAATGCCAGTTCCTAAGTCATTAGTTTTTCTGGGCCCTGAAACACCTTTGGTCTGTGGCCAAAAGCAATATTTGAAGTTTCCCCAGGGTTAGTGCTCTATTTACTGCTCCTGCCCCCTCTCTGGAAGTTACTGTGTATCCACTGGACTCATTATTTTGTTATTTTAATTCATTCGTTCAATATATATTAAGCACCTATCATGTGCCAGTCAGTATACTCAGAGGTAGTTATTGTGAGCAATCTAGACATGATTTCTGCCCTCCTGGAGTCTAAAGTTTAGTTGTAAGGTGGGAATAGAGTGGATGACTGGATGCTGAAGGAATCCATCAGGGTTTTTTGGAAGTAGATAGAGATGGATGGGAACTTTGTATCTTTTGCATGTATTCAGGGGCTCAAAATTATTTACATGTTTGAACTCCAAATATCTCCATTAGATGATATTATGCCACGTTAGAAATAGGAATCTGAAGTTAAGAGAAATTAAGTAATTCCTTAATATTACATATGTGCTAGGTGCTGCTCTAATCCAGGTTTGTATAATACCAAACCTTGTGATGGTTCTACTGTCATACCACTATTCTAAAAGTCATTCAAGAAACTCAAAGTTGTAAGCTCTGGGATCACAGGGTCTACTATGACTTCGGTTTCAAGGTTTTGCAATCTGATGTTCAAGAATGTGTTTAAAAGGATGCTCTAATTCTCCAACACTAGATGTCAACCGTAGTACATACTAGTACATGCGTGCATTTTTCTGGGAGAGGATCTGTAACTTCTACCAGACTTCCAGAGGTAGCTATGACCTGATATAGATCAAGGGCCACTACTTTACACCCTATTCTAGGCTTCTTCCTGTCCTTCTATGTCTACACCAGTGGTAGCTGTTTTTCATTAAAGGGGCAGTGTAATATATTGGAAAGACCTTGGAACAGTCAGGCAGGAGCTCTTGACACCATTCCCAGTCATACCATTAATGTGTAGTGTGGCCTTTCTTCAACAAATCTCTTCTCCTCATTGAGCCTCACCTGCCAGGACTGTGTGAGTCCATGTGTGGTCTCAAGGACAGTATCTCTCAGCTGGACTGCAAAGCACATTGCAGATTTCACACACTTGGTGGGCTCCAAGTGGCAATGTGCAGAATGACAGGCACTGAGCCTGGTAGTAACAGCTGGGAAGGCAGATCCCTGCTGTCAGGGTTCGCTGACGACCTGTTTACCCAACTACTATAGATCCTGAATAATTCTATCACATCCTGAATCTTTAGGCAGACAGCCTTTGAGGTCATGACCTCCAACTTTCCAGCCAATAGGAGCCAGAAGATTGGCCTCTTGCTCCTGAATCCCATCACTTGTGTCTTTAACATGAGTGTGGCCCCAGCTAGAATGTGCTTTCTTCCTCTTACAATGTCAAAACTCCGGCACTCTCAAGTGACTGAGTCAGTACTAAATATTTAATGCATGAAGTCTGCCTTCCCAGGGCCTTTGATCTGAAACTTCTTAAAAACATCTTAAGAGCCCTTCAGAAGCTGGTTACTATTTCATTACATTCACTTAAAATAGATTTATTTTATCAAAACATCCTGTCAGAAACCCTGAAGCTGGGATGAGTAACCCCCAGTGATTCTGACAGGACTGCCTCCCCGCATTAGGCACCCAGCATCTCTGGACAGCCCCACTGGCATGCTGAGGGGGTACAGCTGTCACAGGCATGCCCCTGATGACTCCAGAGCTGTGAGCAGAGGAGGTGGCAAGTCTTGTCAGAAGCCTTGGGAAGCTGCATCAATAACACCCACATGAAGGGAATGAACATTTATTGAGAGTCTGCCACAAGCTGGGCCCTTACCTGGGGTACTCACTTTTTGAATCTTGTGGAATCGTCATTAACAGCCCTGTGAAGTGGGTGGTGGTGTCTATATTCTACCCATTAGGAAACTGAGGCTGAGGCTTGAAGGCATATGTGACTTACTCAAGGTCACAGAGTAGAATTAAGATGAAAACCTAGGTCTGGTTGAAAAGCCTATGTTTTTGTTTTTGGGGGTTTTTTTCCGCTGAAATTGACCATTTTACTGAAGACTCGGGTTTCTTTCTTTAAAACGAAAAAAATAAATGAAATAGCATTTTGTAAAATTATGTAAGTGGTACATGCTAATTCAAAGGATATAGAACGGAGTAAGGATAATGTTAAAAATCACTTGAGGCCAGGCGCGGTGGCTCAAGCCTGTAATCCCAGCACTTTAGGAGGCCTAGGCGGGCGGATCACGAGGTCAGGAGATCGAGACCATCCTGGCTAACATGGTGAAACCCCGTCTGTACTAAAAATAAAAAAAAAATTAGCCAGGCGTGGTGGCGGGCGCCTGTAGTCCCAGCTACTCAGGAAGCTGAGGCAGGAGAATGGCGTGAACCCAGGAGGCGGAGCTTGCAGTGAACGGAGATCGCGCCACTGCACTCCAGCCTGGGCGACACAGCGAGACTCCATCTCAAAAAAAAAAAAAAAAAATTACTTGAAATCCTATCATCTAGATAAATATTTATAATTATTTCTTGAATGAGATTAGATTTATTGATACTTTGCCACTTTCTGATTGTTTCTTTGTTAGCTTCTCATTTCACCTTTCTCAAACCCTACCATTCCCCCAGCTTTAGATAGCGGAAAGATGAGGGGAAAAGAAGTATGGCATGATTCTTTCTTCTACCACCAACCTAAGGGAACAAAATCAACTCCCCCCAAAAAAACCCCAACACAATCAGGGGCTAAAGTGGATGCCAGAGTGAAACATAAGGTTCTGTCCAGTTCCAGCCTCTAGGTGACCTAAGAAAAACCACTTTGTGCAAGAAATAGTCCTACGCAGTAGATTCCCAGAACTGGTGTGATCATCAGTGAGACTATGAGGTAGAAGTTTTTTGTAGGCTGGAAAATACTATGCAGATTTCTATGGAAATACTAGAAAGAGAAAGACTGTAAGAAGCAGTGTTATCTCAATACCCCTGGGTCCATTGGTAAGATAACTGTGTATCTCTCTCCTTCTGATCAGGATAGTCCTTACTTATACCTGTCATCCCAACATAATGAATAATAACATTGTCTTTCACTCTCAGAAGTGTCCTTATTTGGGTAAGTTATATGGCTACTGCTCATATATGATTAGGTAGCTCCATGAGAGAGAGAATGACAGACCAGAGCAATGAAGGAGGTTCCCTGTAGGGTGGGACTGCATGTGGGCTAGCAAAGCAGCTAGAGCTTTAGAAGGCATCAGTGAGAGGGAATTTTGTGCATGGTGACTAACAGGCAAGAAAAAAATAATATGAAGAGGCTGACCTGGCATGCAGTGGTCAATCTGTAAGAGGCTGGCCCGCCTTCATACAGAGGGCAGGTTTAGAAATAACACTGGGAGGAATTCAGCAGTGAACGAAAATGTGAAGCTGTGTTCTAAGTTTCCAAGCATCCCTCATAGATTATTTTCATGTTATAAAAGGGAAAACTGAGGCACAAGAGGATAAGGTATTCAGTGGCAGAGCTAGAATTGGAAGCCAAAGTTTTGGCTCCAAAGCCTGTACACTTAACGACAATATTATACTACCTCTTGGTCTAAAGCATTTAACTTGTATTTTATTGCTCTTTCCTCTGCCTGGAATGCCCTGTCTCACCAATTTTCTCAGAAAACTGATAATATAGGATTCAGGAAGCCATTTCCAGTCAGGCTTTCAGAAATGGAGTAACCTTAGTTGACAAGATTCCTTCTACTTCATTTTAAAAATACTTATACAGCTCAGTCCAGTCCTGGGATGTGCACATGGAGAGAAGGGGGAAGAACGGAATAGCACACAATCAGTGAAACCACTTCCTCAGGGTTTTTTTATTGCATTAGAGAGAAACAAGACTTTTAACATTCCTAATATTGTGTTAGAAAACACAGTATTGTCCTTATATTATAAATGTGTGGGTCCATCAATAAGGACAATATAATATAAAAGAGGACAAGAAAGGGGTGGACAAATAGAAATGGCTTGCTAGAGAATGTAGACCTTAAGTTAAATCTCAAAGCATGAAAGAATGATCCCATTTTTAGGTATAAGGAACCTGGACGCCATGTACTTCCAAACTGTGAAACTAAGGCTCAGACTTATCTAGGGCCTCATAGCTGGAAAGTGGCAGGGTTAAGTGCCCTAGTTCCCAGCCTAGTGATCTGTGCTGCTTTCTGATGTAAGCAATTAGGGGAAGAATGAGTGGCTAGAATGGGCAAGAACTACCCAGAGAGGTGGGAATTGGGGAGCAGCAAATAGAATACAGAAGAGGTGGGGATAGGCAGAGCATAATGGTAGGGACAATAAATGAGGAAACTCAGAGAAGCCTCTTCTGGGACAGATGGAGCCTATAAACTTTTTAAATTGGAAGGTTGCCTGGGTATTATGAAGCCCCGTTCCTTCCAACTTTGTAAAATAAAGGGCTCCTGAAGGAGTATCTATTCTGCCATTGTTTTCTTGCTCACCAAGACTCTCAGTGTCCTCCAGAGAAGCTTTTGCTTCTGCTGCAACCAGCTTCCCATTAGAATTCCTGGACATTGCTTAGTGTTGCTTAGTGTTCTATATTGAACCCATGATGTGTAAAGAAGATACCAAGCTTGTGGCAGTCACATTCTGTGAGGTTTCCTGGACACCCCCAGGATACCACAGGCAAGTCATATTGCCACAAATATGTCATCTACAAACACTCATCTCTTTGGTTATTTGCTGTCATGCTCACTGTCTTATTCTGTTTCCTGTTGCTGTAATTGAATACCTGAGACTGGGTAATTTATAAGGAATAAATTCATTTCTTACAGTTTTGGAGGCTGGGAAGCCCAGGGGCATGGCACCAGCATCTGCTCAGCTTCTGGTGAGGGCCTGCTTGCTGCACCATACCATGGAAGAAAGCATCACCAGGCAGGAGGGCTTGTGAGAGAGCTGACCTGGCTTTTATAACAGATCCACTCTCATGATAACTAATTCACTCACATGATGACTTATTAATAATCTATTAACACATAATGAGGGCTCATGCCCTCATGACCCAATTATCTCTTACAGGTCCCACCTCTTAATGCTGTTACATTGGGGATTAACTTTCAACATGAGTTTTAGAGGGGACAAACATTCAAACCAGAACATTCACTTTCTACAGTTCAGCCAAAGGGGCTCTTGGATCTTTCACTCAGGAGTTTGCTTTGGAACTGAGGGCAAATGTTTAAACTGAAAGAGCAAATAGAATGGTAGAATTTCAGGTACAGGTCAGGAATAGTTCCTGCTTATGGATAACATGTCACTTCCTTAATCGGACCAAAAACCACAACAGTTTTGAGGACTCTTCTCTGGGAATAGGCCTATTTTCTAGAGCTATGGGTTTGGATTATGCTGTAAGAGTGAATTGGAACTCCCTAGCTCTCTCTTCTTATCTTATGACAACTACATGCTCTTATGTTAAGTATGTACCACAGTGCCTAGTATATAAGAGACTCTTAATAGATGTCTGTTCTCTTCCTCACATACTCCCCAACCACCTGCTCATAATTCTGTCTTTATGTTTTTTGGTCTTTGTCTCTCTCTTTCTTCTCCCTCTCTGTCTCTGGGTCTCTTTCTCTGTCTTTGTCTCTATATTTTCCCTGCACACAGCACCTTTTTAAGAGAGCAGATAGTTAGCTCTGAAACCCAGGCTCACTGTTATCCGTGTCATCTTTATATTCGAGCAAAAAGACAAGAAAATTGTACTCTGAACGGCCTCCACACAGAAAGGGAGTCACAGGCTTCCCTGTAATCTGCCTGCTTTTCACACCATTGTACAGTAGCCCTCCCTTATACTTGGAGGGGGTGGGGGAGTTCCTTTTTTTTTATGTAGCTTTTTTTTTTCTTTTATTATTATATTTTAAGTTTTAGGGTACATGTGCACATTGTGCAGGTTAATTACATATGTATATATGTGCCATGCTGGTGTGCTGCACCCACTAACTTGTCATCTAGCATTAGGTATATCTCCCAATGCTATCCCTCCCCCCACCCCCCACCCCACAACAGTCCCCAGAGTGTGATGTTCCCCTTCCTGTGTCCATGTGATCTCATTGTTCAATTCCCACCTATGAGTGAGAATATGCGGTGTTTGGTTTTTGGTTCTTGCGATAGTTTACTGAGAATGATGATTTCCATTTTCATCCATGTCCCTACAAAGGACATGAACTCATCACTTTTTATGGCTGCATAGGATTCGATGGTGTACATGTGCCACATTTTCTTAATCCAGTCTATCATTGTTGGACATTTGGGTTGGTTCCAAGTCTTTGCTATTGTGAATAGTGCCGCAATAAACATATGTGTGCATGTGTCTTTATAGCAGCATGATTTATAGTCCTTTGGGTATATACCCAGTAATGGGATGGCAGGGTTAAATGGTATTTCTAGTTCTAGATCCCTGAGGAATCGCCACACTGACTTGCACAATGGTTGAACTAGTTTACAGTCCCACCAACAGTGTAAAAGTGTTCCTATTTCTCCACACCCTCTCCAGCACCTGTTGTTTCCTGACTTTTTAATGATTGCCATTCTAACTGGTGTGAGATGGTATCTCATTGTGGTTTTGATTTGCATTTCTCTGATGGCCAGTGATGGTGAGCATTTTTTCATGTGTCTTTTGGCTGCATAAATATCTTCTTTTGAGAAGTGTCTGTTCATGTCCTTTGCCCACTTTTTGATGGGGTTGTTTGTTTTTTTCTTGTAAATTTGTTTGAGTTCATTGTAGATTCTGGATATTAGCCCTTTGTCAGATGAGTAGGTTGCAAAAATTTTCTCCCATTTTGTAGGTTGCCTGTTCACTCTGATGGTAGTTTCTTTTGCTGTACAGAAGCTCTTTAGTTTAATTAGATCCCATTTGTCAATTTTGTCTTTTGTTGCCATTGCTTTTGGTGTTTTAGACAGGAAGTCCTTGCCCATGCCTATGTCCTGAATGGTATTGCCTAGGTTTTCTTCTAGAGTTTTTATGGTTTTAGGTCTAACGTTTAAGTCTTTAATCCATCTTGAATTGATTTTTGTATAAGGTGTAAGGAAGGGATCCAGTTTCAGCTTTCTACATATGGCTAGCTAGTTTTCCCAGCACCATTTATTAAATAGGGAATCCTTTCCCCATTGCTTATTTTTCTCAGGTTTGTCAAAGATCAGATAGTTGTAGATATGCGGCGTTATTTCTGAGGGCTCTGTTCTGTTCCATTGATCTATATCTCTGTTTTGGTACCAGTACCATGCTGTTTTGGTTACTGTAGCCTTGTAGTATAGTTTGAAGTCAGGTAGTGTGATGCCTCCAGCTTTGTTCTTTTGGCTTAGGATTGACTTGGCGATGCGAGCTCTTTTTTGGTTCCATATGAACTTTAAAGTAGTTTTTTCCAATTCTGTGAAGAAAGGCATTGGTAGCTTGATGGGCATGGCATTGAATCTGTAAATTACCTTGGGCAGTATGGCCATTTTCACGATATTGATTCTTCCTACCCATGAGCATGGAATGTTCTTCCATTTGTTTGTATCCTCTTTTATTTCCTTGAGCAGTGGTTTGTAGTTCTCCTTGAAGAGGTCCTTCACATCCCTTGTAAGTTGGATTCCTAGGTATTTTATTCTCTTTGAAGCAATTGTGAATGGGAGTTCACTCATGATTTGGCTCTCTGTTTGTCTGTTGTTGGTGTATAAGAATGCTTGTGATTTTTGTACATTGATTTTGTATCCTGAGACTTTGCTGAAGTTGCTTATCAGCTTAAGGAGATTTTGGGCTGAGTCAATGGAGTTTTCTAGATATACAATCATGTCGTCTGCAAAGAGGGACAATTTGACTTCCTCTTTTCCTAATTGAATACCCTTTATTTCCTTCTCCTGCCTAATTGCCCTGGCCAGAACTACCATCACTATGTTGAATAGGAGTGGTGAGAGAGGGCATCCCTGTCTTGTGCCAGTTTTCAAAGGGAATGCTTCCAGTTTTTGCCCATTCAGTATGATATTGGCTGTGGGTTTGTCATAGATAGCTCTTATTATTTTGAGATATGTCCCATCAATACCTAATTTATTGAGAGTTTCTAGCATGAATGGTTGTTGAATTTTGTCAAAGGCCTTTTCTGCATCTATTGAGATAATCATGTGGTTTTTGTCTTTGGCTCTGTTTATATGCTGGATTACATTTATTGATTTGCGTATATTGAACCAGCCTTGCATCCCAGGGATGAAGCCCACTTGATCATGGTGGATAAGCTTTTTGATGTGCTGCTGGATTCGTTTTGCCAGTATTTTATTGAGGATTTTTGCATCAATATTCATCAAGGATATTGGTCTAAAATTCTCTTTTTTGGTTGTGTCTCTGCCAGGCTTTGGTATCAGAATGATGCTGGCCTCATCAAATGAGTTAGGGAGGATTCCCTCTTTTTCTATTGATTGGAATAGTTTCAGAAGGAATGGTACCAGTTCCTCCTTGTACCTCTGGTAGAATTCGGCTGTGAATCCATCTGGTCCTGGACTCTTTTTGGTTGGTAAGCTATTGATTATTGCCACAATTTCAGCTCCTGTTATTGGTCTATTCAGAGATTCAACTTCTTCCTGGTTTAGTCTTGGGAGGGTGTATGTGTCAAGGAATTTATCCATTTCTTCTAGATTTTTTAGTTTATTTGCGTAGAGGTGTTTGTAGTATTCTCTGATGGTAGTTTGTATTTCTGTGGGATCAGTGGTGATATCCCCTTTATCATTTTTTATTGCGTCTATTTGATTCTTCTCTCTTTTTTTCTTTATTAGTCTTGCTAGCAGTCTATCTATTTTGTTGATCCTTTCAAAAAACCAGCTCCTGGATTCATTAATTTTTTGAAGGGTTTTTTGTGTCTCTATTTCCTTCAGTTCTGCTCTGATTTTAGTTATTTCTTGCCTTCTGCTAGCTTTTGAATGTGTTTGCTCTTGCTTTTCTAGTTCTTTTAATTGTGATCTTAGGGTGTCAATTTTGGATCTTTCCTGCTTTCTCTTGTGGGCATTTAGTGCTATAAATTTCCCTCTACACACTCCTCTGAATGCGTCCCACAGATAATGGTATGTTGTGTCTTTGTTCTCGTTGGTTTCAAAGAACATCTTTATTTCTGCCTTCATTTCGTTATGTACCCAGTAGTCATTCAGGAGCAGGTTGTTCAGTTTCCATGTAGTTGAGCGGTTTTGAGTGAGATTCTTAATCCTGAGTTCTAGTTTGATTGCACTGTGGTCTGAGAGACAGTTTGTTATAATCTCTGTTCTTTTACATTTGCTGAGGAGAGCTTTACTTCCAAGTATGTGGTCAATTTTGGAATAGGTGTGGTGTGGTGCTGAAAAAAATGTATATTCTGTTGATTTGTGGTGGAGAGTTCTGTAGATGTCTATTAGGTCCGCTTGGTGCAGAGCTGAGTTCAATTCCTGGGTATCCTTGTTGACTTTCTGTCTCGTTGATCTGTCTAATGTTGACAGTGGGGTGTTAAAGTCTCCCATTATTAATGTGTGGGAGTCTAAGTCTCTTTGCAAGTCACTCAGGACTTGCTTTATGAATCTGGGTGCTCCTGTATTGGGTGCATATATATTTAGGATAGTTAGCTCTTCTTGTTGAATTGATCCCTTTACCATTATGTAGTGGCCTTCTTTGTCTCTTTTGATCTTTGTTGGTTTAAAGTCTGTTTTATCAGAGACTAGGATTGCAACCCCTGCCTTTTTTTGTTTTCCATTTGCTTAGTAGATCTTCCTCCATCCTTTTATTTTGAGCCTATGTGTGTCTCTGCACGTGAGATGGGTTTCCTGAATACAGCACACTGATGGGTCTTGACTCTTTATCCAATTTGCCAGTCTGTGTCTTTTATTGGAGCATTTAGTCCATTTACATTTAAAGTTAATATCGTTATGTGTTAATTTGATCCTGTCATGATGATGTTAGCTGGTTATTTTGCTCGTTAGTTGATGCAGTTTCTTCCTAGTCTTGATGGTCTTTACATTTTGGCATGATTTTGCAGTGGCTGGTACTGGTTGTTCCTTTCCATGTTTAGTGCTTCCTTCAGGAGCTCATTTAGGGCAGGCCTGGTGGTGACAAAATCTCTCAGCATTTGCTTGTCTGTAAAGTATTTTATTTCTCCTTCACTTTTGAAGCTTAGTTTGGCTGGATATGAAATTCTGGGTTGAAAATTCTTTTCTTTAAGAATGTTGAATATTGGCCCCCACTCTCTTCTGGCTTGTAGGGTTTCTGCCGAGAGATCCACTGTTAGTCTGATGGGCTTCCCTTTGAGGGTAACCCGACCTTTCTCTCTGGCTTCCCTTAACATTTTTTCCTTCATTGCAACTTTGGTGAATCTGACAATTATGTGTCTTGGAGTTGCTCTTCTCGAGGAGTATCTTTGTGGCGTTCTCTGTATTTCCTGAATCTGAACGTTGGCCTGCCTTGCTAGATTGGGGAAGTTCTCCTGGATAATATCCTGCAGAGTGTTTTCCAACTTGGTTCCATTCTCCCCGTCACTTTCAGGTACACCAGTCAGACGTAGATTTGGTCTTTTCACATAGTCCCATATTTCTTGGAGGCTTTGCTCATTTCTTTTTATTCTTTTTTCTCTAAACTTCCCTTCTCGCTTCATTTCATTCATTTCATCTTCCATTGCTGATACCCTTTCTTCCAGTTGATCGCATCGGCTCCTGAGGCTTCTGCATTCTTCACGTAGTTCTCGAGCCTTGGTTTTCAGCTCCATCAGCTCCTTTAAGCACTTCTCTGTATTGGTTATTCTAGTTATACATTCTTCTAAATTTTTTTCAAAGTTTTCAACTTCTTTGCCTTTGGTTTGAATGTCCTCCCGTAGCTCAGAGTAATTTGATCGTCTGAAGCCTTCTTCTCTCAGCTCGTCAAAGTCGTTCTCCATCCAGCTTTGTTCCGTTGCTGGTGAGGAACTGCGTTCCTTTGGAGGAGGAGAGGCGCTCTGCTTTTTAGAGTTTCCAGTTTTTCTGTTCTGTTTTTTCCCCATCTTTGTGGTTTTATCTACTTTTGGTCTTTGATGATGGTGATGTACAGATGGGTTTTTGGTGTGGATGTCCTTTCTGTTTGTTAGTTTTCCTTCTAACAGACAGGACCCTCAGCTGCAGGTCTGTTGGAATACTCTGCCGTGTGAGGTGTCAGTGTGCCCCTGCTGGGGGGTGCCTCCCAGTTAGGCTGCTCAGGGGTCAGGGGTCAGGGACCCACTTGAGGAGGCAGTCTGCCCGTTCTCAGATCTCCAGCTGCGTACTGGGAGAACCACTGCTCTCTTCAAAGCTGTCAGACAGGGACATTTAAGTCTGCAGAGGTTACTGCTGTCTTTTTGTTTGTCTGTGCCCTGCCCCCAGAGGTGGAGCCTACAGAGGCAGGCAAGCCTCCTTGAGCTGTGGTGGGCTCCACCCAGTTCGAGCTTCCCCGCTGCTTTGTTTACCTAAGCAAGCCTGGGCAATGGCGGGCGCCCCTCCCCCAGCCTCGCTGCCGCCTTGCAGTTTGATCTCAGACTGCTGTGCTAGCAATCAGCAAGACTCCGTGGGCGTAGGACCCTCCGAGCCAGGTGTGGGATATAATCTCGTGGTGCGCCGTTTTTTAAGCCCGTTGGAAAAGCACAGTATTCGGGTGGGAGTGACCCGATTTTCCAGGTGCCCTTCATCACCCCTTTCTTTGACTAGGAAAGGGAACTCCCTGACCCCTTGCGCTTCCCGAGTGAGGCAATGCCTCACCCTGCTTTGGCTCGCGCACGGTGCACGCACCCACTGACCTGCGCCCACTGTCTGGCACTCCCTAGTGAGATGAACCCGGTACCTCAGATGGAAATGCAGAAATCACCTGTCTTCTGCGTCGCTCACGCTGGGAGCTGTAGACCCGAGCTGTTCCTATTCGGCCATCTTGGCTCCTCCTCCCTTTTTTTTTTTGAGACGGAGTCTCACTCTGTCGCCTAGGCTGGAGTGCAGTGGTGCAGTCTCGGCTCACTGCAACCTCTGCCTCTCAGGTTCAAGCAATTCTCCTGCCTCAGCCTCCTGAGTAGCTGGGATTACAGGCACACACCACCATGTCCAGCTAATTTTTGTATTTTTAGTAGAGACGGGGTTTCACCATGTTGGTCAGGCTGGTCTTGAACTCCTGACCTTGTGATCCACCTGCCTCGGCCTCCCAAAGTGCTGGGACTCAGGGGTTATGTTCTGAGACCCTCAGTGAATGTCTGAAACCATAGATAGTACAAAATCCTATATATACTATGTTTTTTCCTATCATGCATGCCTATGATAAAGTTTGATTTATAAATTGGGCATAGTAAGAGATTAACAACAATATCTAACAGTAAAATAGAACAATTATAACAATATACTGTAATAAAAGTAAAATAAGGGTTACTTGAATACAAGCACTGTGATTCCAGGACAGTCAATCTGATAACCAAGATGGCTACTCAGTGACTAATGGGCAGGTAGTGTATGGCTACGTCAGACAAAAGGATAATAATTCAAGTCCTATGTGGGATGAAGTGGGATGAAGAGGGATGGTGTGAGATTTCACCATGTTATTTAACAGCCCACAATTTAAAACTTATGAATTGTTTATTTCTGGAATTTTTTATTTAATATTTTTGGACTGTGGGGAACTGAAACCATGGAAAATGAAAATGGATAAGTAGGGACTACTGTATGGAAAAGTTTCTCTCTAACTTGAAATTTAGTTTCTATGGGAATTCAGAGTTGAATGTGACTTTCAATTTTGTGGTTTTGATAAATAGCCTGCATTTATCAACAGATAGGTGATATGATTTTTCAACTAAATATTCTTGGTTGGTTTTTATTAGATGCTAGTTATAGTGGAAAATGCAGGGTTCAAGGTCTGTGACCTGGGTTCCAGTCTTGGCTCTGCCTATACCCATTCCCATGTCCCCCAGTATTACCATAAGAAGTTATTTGGACTGCAAGGTGAGAAACAGTGCTCATCAAACATCTTGCTCTAAACTCGTTCCAGTCTTATTTCCCTCTAACGTCACCAGGCATGCTATACTCCATCCCAAACTGCTCACTATATTCAAAGGTCAAGGTATATTTCATATACATATTGTGGGCCTTGTACAATTGGTCCATCTGCTTTTTCTGAGGTGAAGTTGTCTAAGAATTTCTACTCATGGTTCAGGACCCAGATCAAATGTCCCCCTTACTTCAAGGCTCCACTAATTCCTCAGGAAGATTCAGGCCTGCCTTCCTCTGTTTCTCTCAGTGCTTTGTGCCTCTTTTTAATCCAGCATTTTATGCCTAGTATTATCTTTGTTCCCCTTTCTCCCTGCTAGATTGTGAACTAATTATGGACAAGGACTGGATCTGATTTATCACTGTGTCCCCAGTGCCCAGCCCAGAGCTTGGTATAGATGAGATGTTCCCTAGAAGTTTTTGGAATAATACCATAGGGGCTGCGACATATTCATTGAGCACCTGCTCTGGGCCAGCTCTATGAGAGATAATTTTTATATGCCATTTCATTTTATTCAGCCCATTCAGGCTGGTGCTCTCCCTAAACATTATCCCTTTAATATGCCTATCATACCTGTAATGCCATACGTAATCCTCAATCAGGACTTTATCTCTTGATGATCTGTTTCCTGACTCTATCTTGGGGAATGCCATGTGTCCAACACTAGGAGCCGCTTACCAGTTGGATTTGTTCAGCTCATATTGAGAGTGAAAAAATCCCAGAAACTGGACAACAAGAGTTCTGCCAAGAAAGCTCTCATTTTATTTGGAGGATCCCATATAAAGGTGTTAGAGTTATGCGGAGTAAGAGAGGGAGGCTCAATGAAGGCCCAGCCCTTGAGATAATGTGGAAATGAGATGTGAATCTTTTGAGTTGGGGCCAATTAGCACCCAGTTTAAATGACAGCAAAAGGGACTCATTAGACTATTCGGAGAGTCTGGAATTTGATCAAATTTGGTAAGAAACCAAAGTCCCAGTGGGAAGCTAGAGAGATAGATGTCTGACCATGTCTGGCTCCAAGAGCCTTGTAGGGAACCAGCAATGGCTCCTGTTTGGGTGATATTACTAAGGGGATTCATGTGCAGAAGATTTTGGACAGGAAAGAGGTGATTTCCAGAGATTATTTTGACAAAATTCAACAGAACTAGTATCTAAATATGGACCTGGCTCTCCAGAAAAGAGAGATGGCTAAAACAACAGCTGTATCTACCCTAAAAGAAAGCACCCAGTCTAGTGTGGGAGGCAAGACTCATACACGAGTAACTGTGAGGAAAGGTAAGAAGAGCCATGCTGTGAAAGGATCATTGATAAGGGGCTGTGGGAGTTCAGAGAGGGAGATCACGCCTACCTGAGCTAAAGTGTTGTTTGCAGACAAAGTTACTTAAAAGCTCCTAGTACCATGCTAAATTCATAGTAGGTAGCCAATAAATATACATTCTCTTCTTTCTCGTCTTCTCCCCATATTAAATCTTTGAACTTTATTTTTATTTTATTTTATTTATTTATTTGTATGTATGTATTTATTTTTTTGAGATAGAGTTTCGCTCTTGTTGCCCAGGCTGGAGTGCAATGGCGTGATCTCGGCTCACTACAACCTCTGCCTCCTGGGTTCAAGCGATTCTCCTGCCTCAGCCTCCTAAGTAGCTAGGATTACAGGCATGTGCCACCACGCCCAGCTAATTTTTTTGTATTTAGTAGAGACGGGGTTTCACCATGTTAGTCAGGGTGGTCGTGAACCCTTGACGTCAGGCGATCCACCTGCCTTGGCCTCCCAGAGTGCTGGAATTACAGGCGTGCACCAACGTGCCTGGCCTCAACTTTATTTTTAATGTTTCATCAAGTCATTCATTCTTTGGGATTTTTCTTCACTTGCTTCCATGCCATAAAACAAGGTATGTTCTTCTGTGACAGAAAAATATTCAGAAAATGACCTTGCTTCAGTCCATGATGGGCCTGAGTCAAAGCTGAACCAAGGAGGTAGGCCCTAGTCCAACTAAGCCTCTGCTCCTGGTCTATACACAACCCTGCAGAGCATCTTACATGCATCTATGCATGCAAAAGTCTATTTTTATTTCTAAAATTCTGCTTCCTGAGTGGAGTGGGAGTTAAACTTTATATTTCTTTGATGTTCAATACTGAATGGCTTATGGGAACCCTGGCAGAATAGTTTCAAATAAGCATTTTAATGTAGAATAAAGGTCAATGTGCTGGAATTTGAAACCATTAATCCTTTTGCTCTTAAGGAAGACTGCACTTTAACAGAATAAATAACAGATTAAATTATAAGAGTTCTTGAAATTCCAATAAGAAAAAATACACATTACATTGTTGAGAATTGAAACCGATGAGACCTTAATGTTCTCTCCCTTGCTCTCCTATTTTTGGTTGCCAAGATTTAGAAGGTAAAGAGAAATTGTTCTTTTAATTTTCTATTGTTTTGAAGGTACAGAGAATGTTTGAGTCTCTGAAGGTTAAGGGATCAATTATATTGGAAAATAAGCCCTTAGTTTTACGATAGAATAAGTGCATCATCACAGCCTGGTGAACAGAACCTCCATGCTAATTATTTCAACTTCCAGTGAGCAAGGCTACAGAAAGGGGCACAGAAAACCAGCCATTAAAGGGGTCCAACAAACTCTGCCCATGTTAGTCATCCTAGGTGACCATTCAAGATCTAGATCAAATACTGCCTCCTCTGAGAAGGCTACTGTTATTTCTCAGTCAGTGTTTATGACCCTCTGCCTCTGAACTTACATAGAATGCTGCTTATACATCTATTTTTGCTGGTGTTTTCCATGATTGTTACCATGTCTGTCTTCTTGCTCAATTATACGTAATATTTGAGTTTCTTTGTAGTAAAAAGAAATATCACTTATTACACTCTAGCTATGTCCTAGACATTAGGCTAAGTATCTTAAACATAGTACTTAATGCAATATTTACCACAACCCTATAGTGTAAAGACGATTATCTTACTTTACAGATGAAGAAACAGAGAGTTAAGGGAGTTAGCTAATTTGCCTCAGGTTCCAATGGCAGGGTACTGGTAAAGCCAAATTTCTAATCCTAGCCTATTCTAATTGTTATATATCATACCCTAGAGGTTTGAATTTATCCCAAGGACAAGGAGCATTACTGACGGTGTTTAAACAAGGAAGTGATATGGTCACACTTAAATTTAAGAACTTTCTCTGTGGCCAGAGAGACTGGTATGGGAAGACAAATGAGGAGACTGTCATAGTAATCTTGGCTAGACATGTAGGAAGCACCACGGCAGTGAGAATTGAGATGTTAAGGAGATATTCAGGACTTAGAGCTGACACCACTTGGTAACCACCTGAAAGAGAATTAGGGTTGGAGTCAAGGAGGGCTGGTGTGTAGTTTGTGATGTTACCCATAGTGATGAGAAGCACAGGTCACTGCAAAAGTGTTCATGGAGAGGACCCTCCTACCAAAGAAATGACAAGAATCTTCCTGCCCAGTCCCTGAGTGTTCATAACTTCCTGAACTTGCATTCGAATGTTCCCATTTTATAGGCGAGAATACCAACAAACAGAAGTTAAGAACTTGCCCAAGTTATTTTATGAACTCTGGCATATAATTAGAGCTAAATAACTGCTTGTCAATTGAAGATTTCAAGATGATATTAGCCACTTTAAGAAGCCATTATCTAAAGGGTCATGTTATAACTTTAACACTTTAATTCCTCTTTGAACTCTTTAAAAAGCAGAAAGTACAAAAGACTGAAAACTGGAGGCCACAGAAGCTTCTCGAAACAAAGCAGACCTGCAAGTTCCTAAAAATGAAGCATAATGGTTTAAAGAGAAAGTAATATCCCTAAGCAGTACACTAATTTGGTCCCACTTAGAATCTGAATTTATCAATCAACTGACTCATTAAAGATGATATAGTTGGTAGGTTGAAAGAGCCCGGCACTCAACCCTGAGCTTTTGCCTTTGGGTTGTATATTCTCTTCACTTCACTATACCTGTCCTCTATTACTCCTAAGTTCCCTGAATTTCTCACCAGCCTGAAAAACCAATTGTGCTTCCAAGCCTCATAATTGCTCTGTTCTTAGTGGTGTATTCAGTAAGAATTTTACATCCGGCCAGAAATAGGCAACACTAAACAAGGCAAATATAACCAAAATTTCCCATGCTCACATCCTATAATATGCAGTGGTTATAAACACTTCAGGTACTCTAGAGTTGTCTTTAAAGAGCAGCTAGTCCAGTAGTCTTCTACAGTGGGAACAGCTAAGGCTTAAATAGTTGAAATGGTCTTCACTATGATAGTTTTCCAACATGTATCAAGGCCAGCATCTCAGATTAGGACTGTTTCTTATTTAAAGCAATATAAAAAAATGTAGACCAAGATCAACTTTTCTAATTTTACATATTAGAAAACTGATTCCTATTTGTATATGTATTAATCAAATCCAAAGCCATTTACTGAATTTACAAGGTATGCTGGAGGCTGGAGGTATAGCAATGGACAAGAAAGGTTGTATCCTCATCTTCCCAGAGCTCTCAGACTAGCAGGGAAGATAGCATTACATACTTATTAACAATGGAGTGACATGTGCAGTCATATACATAAGGGAGATCACTTGATCATAAAGGTCACCCTGAGGAAGTGATGGATCAACTTAGTATAGGGGTTAAAAGCATGGACTCAAACCAGACTGGGTTGGAATACTTGCTTTGCCACTTACTAGCCCTGTGACCTTGGGAGACGCATGTAACTTCTCTGAGTCTTAGTGTCCCCATCTATAAAATAGGAATAATAATAGTACCTACTTGCAGCACATTAAAGATGATAAAACTAGCTAATATTTAGAAAGCACTTAGTATTTTGCACATAGTAAGGGATAGTAATAAAATTGAAAAGAAGCTGAGATCCAAAGGATGAATAGAAGTTACCTAGACAAACAGCAAGAAGAGAAGTGTTCTTGACAGAGAACACCATCTACAAAGACTGAGAAAAGAACTAGTCTATTTCTAGGAACTGAAAGAACCCAAGTATGGCTTTAATAGAATGGACTCTGTTGATGCTGGAAGGTGGCATTCCAGGTCTAGATAATGGGGTCTAAGGGGGGCTGGTAGATCATATTAGGGTTTATCCCAAAATAGTGGAGATTCAGGGAAAGGTTTAAAGCATAGACAGTCTTAATCATATTTGGTTTTTTGGAAGTCCTTCAGGCTTCTTTGTGGAATATGGATTGGGTGGGAGTGGCACTCCCACCCAATTGTAGAGACCCAGTGAGAGAAAGTGAGTCAAGCAAGGAAAAGATTGGACCCAGGCTTTCTGCCTTCCAATCTGATACTTTTCTCGTGCTGCACAGCCTTTTTCTAATGTGCTTTGGTGGAGGCACGTCATGCCAAGTGCATTCCTTTCACTTCTGGATGTTTGCAGTGCTTACCCTTTGAGCTGCATCCCCTTCATTAAGTGAATGTCCTGTTCTCTTGACGAATAATGTAATTACTGAGAGAGGAGATCAGATTAAAATTGAGTTTCTATAATGGGCCATTTGTTTGGAAGGGAGCCTGAAGGTATTTCTGAGGACTTTAATCAAAGGGAGAAAAAGCCAGTAGAACTTCTGTGATGATGATGATTATTATGGCAATTGAAATCCAAGCACAGCCATCTTCTTCATCAGTGAGTCATCACTCACTTTTCTGATGTTCTTAATTGGATGAGATTTGTTTTCTTCTGCAGTCTAGACTCTCAGGGATGGAAGGGACCTTAAGGGTCATATAGTTCAACCCTACAAAGAAAGCTTGAGCCCTGACTGTAGCACTTTTATCAGATCATCCAGTCCCTGCTGCCATACCTGAACTGACAAGGAACTCATTACCTTGAAAGACATCTCTCATACAGTAAAACAACTCCAAAAGGAAGTTCCTCCTTTTATGGAAGTAAACTCTGTCTCTGGGTCCTACTTGTGCATCTGTTCTGGTTCTGCTTCTGGGTACATGTGGGACTTATCTGCCCCTTCTGCCTCAAGGGAACTATGGAGAGATCTTCAAGCAGCTGCCATATTCTCCTAAGCTTCCTCTCCTTCAGCTGTCTTCTCAAGTATGTTTCCCTATGTGTTAATAATAGTCAAGGAAACCCAACAGTACTGTGACTTAAAGAACAATGACGTTCATTTCTCTTTCACAAATGGTTCTGAATTGAGCAGTCTACACTGGCAGCCAGCTCTACTCCCCACAGTTATATAGGAATCCACATTCCTTTCAGTACCCTGTTCCACCTTCACCTAGGGCATTTTTGTCATCTGCACAAATTTAGGCCCCCTTGGGTTCTAGATGATTGAAAGAGGAAAGAGAGAGTTCACAAAGAAAGCCCACTGCCTTAAAGCTTAGGCCTGAAATGGTGCACTTCACCTTCATTTACATCCCACTGGTCAGAAGTTGGTGACATGCCTGGTATTTATTGCAGTGAGAATGTTCATAGGAAATGTGGTTTAGACATGCCCAGAAAAGGAGGAGAAGAAATTTAGGGGTCATTCACCAGTCTCCACCATACCGTATGATATCAGATGGGCAGGCTATAGCTCAGAGGGGCCTCACACTTCTATTGCCAGTTTCAATATCTTTCATTTGGCTCTTTTTGTGGCATGTTTCAAAAAATGAATGTAGTAGAGAGCACAGAGCATTTGGATGCAGACACCCCAGCTCCACATTTATAAACTGAGCCCTTAAATCATTTCACTTTTCTTAAGTCTTTATTTGTTTATTAAATCAGGAGGAAAATGTTCATCCCATGAACTCTTTTGAAGGCAGAAAGGGATAATCGATGAAATTGCATTTTTTAAAATGCCAATAAAGATGAAATAGTTTGGCTTCAGTCTTCAAACTAGTGGATTCAATCTTTCTCTGACTACCCAACCTAAAGGGTTCTTTCTGTTTTTGGAATACCCAAAGAAGTTGTATTCACCATCATCTTAAAAAGAAACTTACTGTGAAAGGCTTATAAGACAGATTCTTTTACTTTATAGGCATTTGCAATCTATTTGAGGAAACAAATGGAAGAGTTTGATGGTGACCAATATTAGTAGAAGTAGCAGTAATGATGACAATATACACCACTGGTGGCAATATCCATTTATCAAGCACTTATGTGCCAAGCTCTATGACAAGTGCTTATATATAGTGTCTGGTTGATTTTTTATAATATTCCTATGAAGTAGGCATTTCATCCTCATATTATGGGTAAGAAATTTTAGACTCAGAAAGCTTAAGTACTTTAGTGAGAGTCTTACAACTGGTAACTGACAGACCCAGGATTTCAGTCTAAGACTTTGTATTTATAGAGCTCTTCCTCTTGAGTTAAGAAGATTCAGTTCATGAGGCCAGATCATGTGCAATTTTGTTTGATAATTGGATCACTCAGCAAACGTTTCCAGAGTGCCTATTGTATGCTGCGTGTTTTTCTAAACATTAAGAATATGGAATCAAATGGGTCATCTTAGCTAGTGACTTTATCTCATTCTTAAAAGAGAAAAAAGAAGCCATATGATAACAACTACCTGAAAATTCATCAACCTACTTGTATGCTTACCCACACACCCTGCCTTTCCTTTTGTTAGAATGGAACATGTCCTTATTCCTCTCTAAGTCCAACTGCCTGTATTTTAGACCCCATTTGATCTTACTAAAATTATCCCTATCTCTTCTACATCTTAAATTTATCACTTTCTGGGCCAGGTGCAGTGGCTCACACCTGTAATCCCAGCACTTTGGGAGGCCAAGGCGGGTGGATCACTTGAGGTCAGGAGTTCAAGACCAGCCTGGCCAACATGATGAAACCCCATCTCTACTAAAATTACAAAAACTAGCTGGGCGTGGTGGCGGGCACCTGTAATCACAGCTATTGGGGAGGCTGAGGCAAGAGAATTGCTTGAACCCCTGAGGTGGAGGTTGTAGTGGGCTGAGATTGCACCATTGCACTCCAGGCTGTGTGACAGAGCAAGACTCCATCTTGAAAAAACAATTATTACTTTCTGGATTTCCTATATGCAAACAAATTAGCAATAATATTTTATATCTTTATATAGATAAGTAGACAGGAAGGAAGGAAGGAAGGAAGGAAGGAAGGAAGGAAGGGAGGAAGGAAGGAAATTCCTTGGCCCCACATTTTCCTCTGGCTATAAATCATTTCTCTACTTCATACCAAAATTTTTCTAATGAATTATCTATACTCATCCTTTCCACATTCTCACCATGCATCACTCTTCTCTTTCCACTCTTAACTTTAATTCACAACATTCTTCTGAAACACCCTTTATCAAGATCATCTTAGACCATCATCCTGCCAATTCTAATGGTCATTTCCCTGTTTTCATGTTATTGGATCTCATAGCAGCACTTCACACAGTTAACTGACAACCTACTTCCTGAAATACTTTCTTCTTTAGGCTTTCAAGATACCACACTCCCTTAGTCCTCTTTCTTCTCCACAGTGGCCACTTTTTCTCAGGATCGTTTGATGTATTCTTCGCTCCCATACATTAAATGTTAAAGTACTCTAGCCACTATGCTTTCTTCTTTTCTTTGCTCTTCCCCAGCTATACTCATTTTCCACATAATTCAATCTGTTCCTATAGCTTTAAATGTCAACTATATGCTAATGAGTTCCATATCTACATTTTCAACCTTAACTTCTCCTGAACTCTAGATTAGTATAATCAAACTGTCTGCATAGTATCTCAATCCAGATGTCAAATAGGCAAGTCAAAATGAATATATTCAAAACAAAAACTCAGGTATTTTTCATCACAGCAAATGAATTTGGGTAAAAACCTGAGGGCTATCATTATTTTTTTTTCTTTCCCTCACATCTTACATCCAGTCCATTAGTGAGTCTTGCCACTCTATCTCTAATATATGTCCCCAACCCACTCACTTTCCTCCATATCCTCTGCCATAACCCTAATCCAGGTCACTATTATATGTTTGGACTGCTGAAATAGCCTTGACTGGTCTCCCTACTTCTTGCCCCTAGAATCCATTCTCCACACAACAGCCAGATTATGTCTCTCCCTGCTTAAAACCTTTCTTGGCTTCCATTCCTATTCAAATAAGGTTCTTATCATGGCCAATAAGGCACTACAGGGCTTGTTTTCTGCCTACTTCTTCTACTTTTTCCCCTTCCACTCAGTGACTATGGTCTAGCTATTATGACCTTCTCTCTGTCACCCAAAGATGGCAAGCTCATTTCTCTCTCCAACACTTGGCACTCTTCCCATAGGAAAGTTTTCATTTTTTGGGTCTCCTCCTCAGAGAATATTTTCCTGATCATTCTAGTTGAAATATACCACACTACCCCAGTCATTACCAAATTATGCCATTTAATTTTCTTCATAACGTATTAGTAGCTGAACTTATTTCATTTAATTTTTGTTTACTAATTTAAGACAATCTTCTCCTGCTATAATGAAAACTCCTTTGGGGCAAGGCATTTGTTTTGTTTATTGCTATATTCCCAGCACCTAGAATAATGCCCAGCACTTAGTAAACATTCAATAAATATCTGTAGACTGACCTATTAGATCCCTGCTCTCAAGGCTTTAGTATAATAAGAGAGACTGAAATGTGAATGGTGACCACACAGTATAATTTGTGCTGTGACAGAGGGAAGCCCAGAGGTTGTGATAGGCCAAAACAGGTACCTAACCAAGCTGGGCACATCAGATAAACTGAAACTGAAATTTGCAGGATAGGTTGGTTTTAGCCAGGTGAAGAGTAGGGGAAGATCACATATGGAGGGAGAGTAGGACTGTATGTCACATGGTCCATCAGGGCTGGAGGAATGAAGAGAGGTACACAGCCACCAGTTTATGTAGTAGGCTCAGGACTTTGAAATTTAGCTTTAAATAGACAGCCAAGGAAGCAGCCAAATAAACAAATTTCGTGATTTGTCTTTTTTGGCTCAAATTGTGTTTGAAATTTTGTATTTTCTTTCAACTTCTTTTATCAAGATAATCCTCTTATTTTCATGGGATTTTTCCCTGGATGATGCTACAGAATATGGATTACATGAATTTTGGAATTATGTATCTGTACCTGATCTAATTATGCATAGGAAATATATACTACAGAACTAATCTACTGAGAGCTTTTGTATTAAATACATTATTGTCTATTAATATCAATGAATATATATATAAACCATATGCTATAAATAGAATTTGATTTATGAGTTCATAAAAAGTATTTCAACATCATAAGTAAGCCATATATCCTCATATATACTACTGTTTCTGGTATAAATAAATGTTTATGACTTCAGTATTTGAACTTGGGAAATACATGCAGTTTCTTGGGGCAGTAATATTATTCTGGGTACCCACTACTTGGCCAAATGTAGGTCTGCAAAAATAGCTGCATGAATAAGGTGTTTGCTTTACATATACCTGAACATTTTAAATGGGGATAACACCTCCAAACAAGATAACCTGCCTGTGCATATGTATATATTAATATATATAGTCATAGCATATACCTATGGTATAATGTAGTGTTATAACAGATACATATAGAAAATGCTATAAGCATAGTACAGGGAGGAAGTAGTTCTGCCTTGAAACATCCAGGAAGTTTTAAAAGAGGAAGCAACATTTGAACTAGGCTTTGAAGGATGACTAGGAATCTTACAGAGAATAAAAGAAAGAAATGTCAATTAGGGAGTGGGAATGGCACAGGCACAGGTATAGAGGTGTGAAATTACGTGGGACATTCCAGAAACTATGAGTTAATGTACACTGTGGCTGGAATACAGGTGGGAAAGAAGTAGAAAATGAAGAGTGGAGAGGTGAATTAGAATCAAGACTGAAGGGTCTTAGAGGGAGGAAGCTCAAGATGGCAAATAGAAGCCTCCACTGATCATCCTCCCTTCAGGAACACCAAATTTAACAGCTATCTACACAAAAAAAGCACCTTTCTAAGAACCAAAAATTAGGTGAGCAATCACAGTACCTGGTTTTTACTTCATATCACTGATAGAGGAACTGAAGAGAATAGGAAATACCATCTTGAATTGCTGATGCCACCCCTCCCCCTTCTCCTGGCATCATGTGAAATCTTTGTGCTTCAGGGAGGGAGAGTGCAGTGATTGTGGGACTTTGTATTGGAACTCAGTGCTGCTGTGTCATAGTGGAAAGAAACAACAGGCTAAACTCAGCCAATACTCATGGAGGGAGCATTTAGGCCAGACCAGCCCAAACCAGAGAGGAATCATCAATTCCATTAGTCATAATTGAGTTCCATCAAGCCTCTCCACCATGAGTTAAAGTGCTTTGGGGTATTAAATAAACTTCAAAGGCGGTCTGGATCACAAGGACTGTTACTCCTAGGCAAGTCCTAGTGCTGTTCCGGGGTCAGGGCCAGTGAACTTGAGGGGCATCAGCCAGGACAGCCAGGGGAGTGCTTGTGCCATCCCTTCCCCACAGCTCACAGCTCACAGCTCAGCTCCAACACAGACCCCTTCAGCACATCTCACAGCTCCAACACAGACCCCTTTCTTTCTGGAGAAGAGAGAAGAGTTCAGAAGACTTTGTCTTGCAACTTGGATACCACCTCAGTCACAGTAGGATAGGGTGTCAGGCAGAGTCCTGAGGTACCCATTCCAGGCTTTAGTGCCCAGATGACATTTCTAGTCATAACTTGAGCCAGAAGGGAATCTGCTACTTTGAAGAAAAGGACCCAGTCCTGGCAGGATTCATCACCTGCTGACTAAAGAGCCCGTGGCCCTGAATAATCAGCAGTGATAGTCAGGTCATACATGTTGTAGGCCTTGGCTGAGACCCTGAGACATGCGAGCTTCAGGTTTGACCCAGGACATTCCCATCTATGGTGGCTATGGGGAGAGACTCCTTCTGCTTGAGAAAAGCAGAGGGAAGAGTAAAGGAGACTTTGTTTTGCAGCTTAGTTACCAGCTGGGCCACATAAGGGTAGAGAACCAAGCAGGAGCTTGTAGTCCCGAATTCCAGGCCATGGCTCTAGGTTGGCATTTCTAGACCTGCCCTGGGCCAGAGAGGAGCTCACTTCCCTGAAGGGTGAGTTTCAGGCCTGGCCAGATTCACTACAAGCTGACTGAAGAGCCCTTGGGTTTGGGGTGAACATAAGTGGTAGTCTGGCAGTACTCCTCATGGGCCCTGTGGTGGTAGCCACAGGGAGAGAGGCCTCTGCTTATGGAAAGGGGAGGGAAGGATGGGAAGAACTTCATCTTGTGCTTGGGTGTAAGCTCAGTCACAGTAGAATGGAGCACCAAGTAGATTTCTAAGATATCCAACTCCAGGACTTGGTTTTGAACCAAGGGTTGTGGGAGGAACCAGGGTTGAGGGGGAACTTGCTGCCCTGAAGGGAAGGACACAGGCCTGGCTGGCCTTGCCGCCTGCTGATTGTAGAGTTCTAGGGCCCTCAGCAAACATAGGCACTAGCCAGGTAGGAGTTACAGTGGACCTTGGGCAAGACGCAGTGCTATACTGGCTTCAGGTCAGACCCAGCACAGTCCCAGTGGTGGTGGCCACAGGGATATTTGCTCCAGGGAGCTCTGCACAGAGAGAGAGAGTGACTCCATTTGATTGGAAGGAAGAGAACAAGAGTCTCCGTCTGGTAATCCAGATAATTCTTTCAGATCTTTTCCAAGACCACCAAGACAGTACATCTACGAGTCTGCAAGAGCCACAGAATTACTGGTTTTGGGGTGCCCCTTAATGCAGATATGGCTACAAGGACTAAAAAGTTAGATCACAACAACTAAGTCCCTTTGAATACTTTTGAAAGCCTTCCCAAAAAGGACAGATACAAATTAACCCAGACTGTGAAGACTACAATAAATCCCTAATGATTCAAATGCCCAGACAGCAAGGAACATCCACAAGCATCAAGATCATCCAGGAAAACATGACCTCACCAAATGAACCAAATAAGACACCAGGGACCAATCCCAGAGAGACAGAGGTTTGTGACAATTTAGGGAATTCAAAGTTGCCATTTTGAGGAAAGTTGACAAAATTCAAGATAACACAGACAAGGAATTAAGAATTCTATAAATTCAAGATTAACAAAAAGATTAAAATAATTGAAAAGAATTAAGCAGAAATTCTGGAGCTGAAAAATACAATTAACATACTAAAGAATGCATCAGAGTCTCATAATAGCAGAATTGATCAAGCAGAAGAAAGAATTAGTGAGCTTGAAGAAAGGCTATTTGAAAATACACAGTCAGAAGAGACAAAAGAGAGAAAAAGAATAAAAAATAATATAGCACACCTACAAGACTAGGGAAGTATCCTCAAAAGGGGGCAATTCTAAGACTTACTAGCCTCAAGAGGAGGTAGAAAAATAGGGTTAGAACATTTATTTCAAAAGGATAATAACAAAGAACTTTCCAAATGTTGAGAAAGCTATCAATATTCAAGTACAAGTAGGTTATAAAACACCTAGCATATTTAACCAAAAGAAGACTACTTCAAGGCATTTAATGATCAAACTTGCAAAAGTCAAGAATAAAGGGATCCTAAAAGCAGCAAGAGAAATAAAACAAACACAATGGAACTCCAGTACATCTGGCAGCCGACTTTTCAGTGGAAACCTCACAGACCAGGAGAGGGTGTCATAGCACATTTAAAGTGCTGAAGGAAAAACACACAAAAAAAACAAAAAAATTGTACACTATAGTAGTACATTCAGCAAAAATATTCTTCAAACGTGAAGTAGAAATACTTTCCCAGACAAACAAAAGCTGAAGGATTTCATCAACACCAGACCTGTCCCACAAGAAATGTTAAAGGGAGTTCTTTATTTAGAAAGAAAATGATGTTAATAAACAATAAGAAATCATCTGAAGGTACAAAACTCATTGGTAACAGTAAGTACACATAAAAACATAGGATATTATAACATTGTAATTGTGGTGTGTAAACTACTCATATCTTAAGTACAAAGACTAAATCATGAACCAATCAAAAATAATAACTACAACTTTTCAAGACATATATAATAAGATATAAATAGAAACAAAAAAGTGGGAGATGAAGTTAAAGTGTAGAATTTTCATTAGTTGTCCCTTTGCTTGTGTGTTAGTTTGTTTATGCAATCAGTGTTACACTGGTCATCAGTTTAAAATAATGGGTTATGAGATATTATTTACAAACCTCATGGTAACCTCAAATTCAAAAATGTGCAACGGATACACAAAAAGAAAACAAGAAATCACCAGAGAAAATCACCTTCACTAAAGAGAAAACAAGAAGGAAAAAAAGACCACAAAACAAGCAGACAGCAATAAGTGATGCTAGGAAAACTGCATATCATATGCAGAAGAATGAAACTAGACTCCTATCTCTCACCATATACAAAAAAATCAAATTTAAGTGGGTTACAGACTTATATCTAAGACCCCAAACTATGAAACTACTACAAGAAAATATTGGGGAACCTCTCCAGGACATTGGTCTTTGCAAAAATTTATTGATCAGTACCCCGCAAGCACAAGCAACCAAAGCAAAACTGGACAGATGGGATCACATTAAGTTAAAAACCTTCTGCACAGCAAAGGAAACAATCAAAAAGTGAAGAGACAACCCATAAAATGGGAGAAAAATATTTGCAAACCATTCATCTGACCAGGCATTCATAACCAGAATTTATAAGGAGCTCAAACAACTCTATAGGAAAAAAAAATCTAAATAATCCAATTTAAAAATAAGCAAAAGATTTGACTAGACATTTCTCAAAAGAAGATGTACAGATGGCCAAGAGGCATATGAAAAGGTTCTCAACATCATTGATTATTAGAGAAATGCAAACCAAAACTACAATGAGATATCATCTCACCCCCGCTAGAATGGCTTATATCCAAAAGATAGGCAATAACAAATGCTGGCAAGGATGTGGAGAACAGAGAATCCTCAAACACTGTTGGTGGGAATGTAAATTACTACAACCACTATGGAGAACAGTTTGGAGGTTCCTCAAAAAACTAAAAATAGAGCTACCATATGATCCAGCAATCACACTATTGGATATACCCAAAGAATGGAAATCAGTATATCGAAGACATATCTGAAACAAACATATCCCATGTTTATTGCACCACTGTTCACAATAGCCAAGATCTGGAAGCAACCTAAGTGTCCATCAACAGATGAATGGGTAAAGAAAATGTGGTCCATATACACAATGGAGTACCATTCAACCATAAAAAGAATGAGATTCTGTCATTTGCAACAACATGGATAGAACTTGAGATCATAATGTTAGGTGAAATAAGCCAGGCACCGAATGACAAACTTTGTTTGTTCTCACTTATTTTGGGGAGCTAAAAATTAAAACAATTGAACTCATGGAGATAGAGAGTAGAAGGATGGTTACCAGAGGCTGGAAGGATAGTTGGTGGGTGGGAGGATAGAGTGGGGATGGTTAATGAGTATAAAATATAGTTAGAAACAATGAGTAGATCTAGTATTGGTAGCACAACAGGGTGACTATAGTTAATAATAATTTAATTGTACATTTAAAAATAACTTAAAAAGTATAATTGAATTGTTTGAAAAACAAAAGATAAATGCTTAAGGTGATGGATACCCCATTTACCTTGATGTGATTATTACTAATTGTATGCCTGTATCAAAATATATCATGTACCCCGTAAATATATATACCTACTATGTACCAACAAAAAGTAAAAAATTTAAATTAAAAGAAAAGAATGAAGGCTCTCGAAGAACACACCCGTACATTTAGACTTTACCCTTAGACATCATTGAAATCCAAAAGATTTACAGAATCTGTGACAACAGAGAGTAGAGAGTAGTCATAAAGCCAGGGCCCTGACGAAGTCAGCCTTTGCCTTGCTGTTCTCTGAGCCTCTACCTCCGTATCTGTCAGAGACAGAGCAGATGATCTCTAAACGGTCCCTTTTACAGCTGTGAAATTTCTTAGACTAAATAAGTAGCCCCACCTTTTTTTGTCAGAGGAATGAATGGAGTTAGTCCATCAACACAATGAAAGGCAGAATCACTGCTCTCAAGCTAAATTTCCCCTGAGACACTCATTTCTTTGCTGACCTCTCAGGTCATTGAAGCTAGCAGTAATGAGATATCGATGCTGGCAGGCCTCCTCCCCTCCACCTGCCCATTCATATGCCTGGGAATGCCTTCGTGAAGAGTTATGAAGGCCTTCTAAATTGAATTTTTCTCTCCTTTATCTGACACTTTATCGAGATGCTGAAAATTTCTTAATTTGCCAGGAAAAGAGAGTGCGGCATAATTTGTCCCAGCCACAGGCTCTCAGTATTGACCAACAGGTTGGTAGCAAAGGTGGAACATTTGCCTCTGAAGAGAGACAACTCAAGGCAATCTGCTTGCTGTCTTAAGAGAAAGTTGTTTTGTCTTCCATGCTTTCATTTATCGACCTTATCCTGTGGCCTCTGAAATATTTTCTCCCAGAAGCTGTGAACTTCAGACCTTCCCTATACTGTTTATCCAGGTATATAGTCTGCATACGTACATGAAAAGTTTACCATGTGCCTGGCATTGTGTTAGATAATGAGCATAAAATAGAAGTCAAACACAATCCCCACTCATTAGAAGCCCCCCCTATTCAGTGAAGGAGATACAAACATACATAAATAGTTTGGCACAATTTTGTTACATTACAGTGGAGAAGGTATTCATTTATCCACTAAACTTCATGGAATGGGTAGGAAAAATCCCTGTTCTCGAGTGGCTCATAGATAATTTTTTTAGAACGGTAGAGGTAGGTTCCATTTTAAGTGTATGTATATAGCATTCAGAAGATGGATGAATTTTCCCCTGGGATGGGGAATGAGGGGGTGGGTCAGGAAAGGCTTCATAGAGAAGGTGATATTTTAGTTAAATCTTGAAAAATAAGCAGTCTTTTTACACAGCTTTCTTGAGTGCATGGTGGGGAAGGGGAAGCAGGAGGAGAAGAAAAATAAGAGCATTCTAGGAAGAGTGCCCAGCATGAGAAAAACCCAGACTTATAAAATAGGCTGGTGTCTTCATAGAACCACACTGGATCCCTGAGGATGGATAGAGTTTTATCTTGTATCCTGCAACATTGCTAAACTCATTTATTAGTTCTTACAGCTTTTATGTAGATTCCATCAGGTTTTTCACATGCATGAAACTTGTTTTATGACCCAGAATATGATCTGTCTTAGTAATGTTCTGCATGTACTTGAGAAAAATATATATCCTGCTGTTGTTGAGTGGAATGTTCTATAAGTGTCAATTAGGTAAAATTGGTTGATAGTGTTGTTCAAATCGTCTATATCCTTTCTGATTTTCTATCTATGTAATCTGTCAATTATTGAGAGTGAAGTATTGAAATCTCTGATTATAATTACGGATTTGTTCAATTCTATCAATTTTTGCTTTATGTATCTTCAAGCTCTGGTATTAGATGCATAAATATTTAGAATTGTTAAATCTTCTTAATAAATTAACCCCTTTATTATTATGAAATTACTCTCTTTATCCCTGGTAATATTCTTTGCTCTAAAGTCTACTTAATCTGATATTAATATGGCCACTTCAGCTTTTATTAGTGTTAATATGGTATACCTTTTCCATTCTTTTACTTTTAATCTATTTATGTCTTTATGTTTGAAGGACATTTATTATGGATAATAAATTTGACCATGCTTTGTTATCTAATCTGTAAATCTCTGATTTTTAAATTACGGTGTTCATTTTGCTATTTGTTTTCTATTTGTTTCATCTAGTCTTTGTTTCTGTTTTCTCTTTTTTTTCCTTCTTTGGGGATATTTTGGAGTATTCTTTGAATATGTTTATGGTTATGGTTATGGTTATGGAGTATTCTTTGAATATGTTTACGGTTTCATTTTATTTCCTTTGTTGGTTTATTAGATACTAGCTGTATAAGAGTTTATTAAATATAACTCTTAAATAACTAATTAACTACTTCCATTATTTTTGTAGCTTATGTAGGGTTTGTAGTATACAACTTTATCATAATCTATATTCAACTGACATTATGCTGCTTCATATGTAGTATAAGAACCTTATATCAATATATTTTCCATTATAAACCCCAAACTACATTGTTATTATTTTATTTGAATAGTAAAATCTTTTGAAGTTATTTAACTAATAAGACATATTCTTATGTATTGTTTCATATGGTTAAATGATGCTTTTAATGTGGTAGATACATATTTCCATCTGGTATCCATATTTCCATCTGGCATAATTTTCTTTCAGCTCGAAGCACTTCCTTTAATGCTTCTTAGAGTGTGGGTCTGCTAGTAGTGAATTCTTTTAGCTTTTTTATATCTGAAAAACCTGAATTTTGTCTTAGTTTTGAAATTCTTGCTAGGTATAGAATTCTAGTTTGAAGTTTTTTCTTTCCATACTTCAGACATGTTGCTCTGTCATCTCACTTGCATTGTTTCCAAAGAGAAGTCTGTTTTCATCTTTATCGTTGTTTCTCGGTATGTAACATGGTTTTCCCCTTTAGCTACATTCAAGTTTCCTCTTTATTACTGACTTTAAACAAATTGATTATGATGTGCCCTGGTATAGTTTTCTTCATGTTTTTTGTGCTTGGGATTCATTGAGTTTCTTTAATCAGCCAGTTTTAGTTTTCATCAAACGTGGAAAAATTTCACCTATTATTTCCACAGACATTTTTTGTGCCTACCCCTAGCCCTGCTTTCAAGGATTCCAATTCATTGTATAGTAGGATAATTAAAGTTGTCCCAGAGCTCACTGTTTTTTTGTTAATTGGGGAGGGAAGGTCTTTTTTCCTTTCTGTGTTTCTTTTTGGTTAGTTTCTATTGATACAATGCTATGTCTTCGAATTCACTAGTCTTTTTATCTGCAATATCTAATTTGCCATTTTTCCATCCAATGTACACTGTAATCTCAGATATTATAATTTTATCTACAGACGCTTGATTTATATCTTTCATGTCTCTTCTTAACTTTTGGAACATATGGAATACAGCTATAATAACTGTCAATGTCTTTTTCTGCTAATGCTAACATCTGTATCAGTTCTATGTCCATTTTGATATGACTATTTTCCTCATTATTTTCAATTTATTTTATTTCCATTTATTTCAATTTATTTTCCTGCTTCTTTGCATGCCTGCTTTTTTTTATTATATAGCAGACATTTCTCAAATGACTGAATTTTACCCTGTTCAGTGGTAGACATTTCTGTTTTCCTGTAAATGTTTTTAAACTTCATTCTGGGATGCAGTTATGTTACTTAGAAACAGTTTCGTTCTTTGAAGTCTTGCTTTTAAGTTCATTAGGTGACACCAGAAAAGTATTTGCTCAGCTTAATTTTTCCCTACCACTGAGGCCAGTCCCTTCCTTCTGAGTACTCTACCCAGTGCCCTATGAATTATGAGGTTTCTAGTTTAACTGTTCTTAGCCCTGTGTGAGTACCAGGCACTTTTCCATCTAATCCTTCAAATGGTTCTTTCCTTGGCTGCAGTTTTTCCACATACTTGTGCTGATCAGTACTCTACTGAATACTCAAGGAGAACCCTTGGCAAAGCTCTTTAATTTTTTCTGTCTTCTACTCTGTCCTCTCCAGTTCTCTGACCTGCAAATTTTAGTTGAGGGTCTTTCCAAGCTCTCAGATTGGTCCCTTTAACTCAGGGAGTATATCAGCCTCTTCTTTGGTTTCCCTCCCTGTGCCCTGGCCTATAAACTCTCTGATAAGCTGGGGCAATCCTGGAGCTGAATACATTAGTTTTCCATCTCACAGTGATCACTGACCTTCATTGTCTTATGTCCAATGTCTTGTAAACCATTTTTCCATGTATTTTCTTCTGTTTTTTTGGTTTGTTTTTTCAGGTGGGAGGGTAAATCCAAACTGTTATTCTTTCTCAGCTAGAAGTGAACATCCTCCCAAATTCTTTATTATGGCATCGTAAGTCCCTCTTGCTGGAAACTCCAGTTACCTCTTTATCCTAATCTCTCTCTACTCCTTTGTGCTCAATTTCCATTGTGGAATTCTGCATATATGATCTTGTGGCACATTTCTACATTTCCTCAGCCCAGAAGGCCTTCCCTGTTCACTATCTCCTTCTTTTTACTAACTCTTACTATATTTCCAGGCACAGTTCAGGCATCAGATAGCCCTATTTGTTCCAACTTTCACCGTAGGTCAGATTATAAGCCTTGCATCTCCCTAGCAGAATTGTTTCTGCATGTCTCAAATTGTGTTTCATGGGAACATATATAGGCATTATAAGATAGTAGGTATCTGTTTGGAAAATATTAGGTTAAACAGTATTGGGGTTTTTTTTAATTTTTTACTTCAAAAAAAGAAAACTGCCTATTATATCCCTTCTTGGACACTCACAGTGCATATTGAAAACCTAGTGTGCACTGTGAGTGTCCAAGAAGAAATATGATAGGCGGATGGGAAAGCCGAGGCTCAGGCAGATTTTTTTTTTAAAGAAAGATAAAACATACTAGCCAAAGCCCTGCTGTGCAGTAGATAGATAGAAAGGTACCTGAGAGCTTCCCTGTTCAGGTCCCTGTGGGAGCATAGAACCCAATGTAGCAGAAAGAGGGCTACATTCCTAGTCCTAGTCCTACCTCTAATTCATTGTGTGACCATGGACAAGGTACTTTCCCACTTTAAACATTAGTTTCCACATCTGAAAAGTGGTAGTGGAGGTTAGACTTGATGAGATTAAACTTTATCTTCAGGCTTCTAATCCTCTACTGCCTGTCATGATTGTAGCAACTTTCCCTGAGCTTTTTCTTTGGTGAATTCTTATAGCCTCCTAGTACTCATTTTAGCAATATCATATCCTTGTATGTTCTCTCCTAAATGACACAGATATAAAAGTCTTGCCTCAGCTACAAGAGCATCTGCTTCTCTCCTGGCATGCCTTACCTATAACAGAGTCCTAATAAATGTGTCCTCAGTCCTTCCTTGCTGTGTTCCCTGTTTTTATAACTAGCCCTAGATCAGATCCCTAGAGACCTTTCTAAGCTTCTCTCTCTTCCTCATTCCTCATTTATATGGTTAACAAATTTGATTCTGGTTGTTTTCACCCCCTTGATATCTTTTCAATCAACTCTCTTATTCTCTACCCCTAAAAATACAGGTATTATTATTGCTATTATTTCTTCTCTTATAATTGAGAAAACTGGGGCACAGAGATTAATTAATTTGCCCAGGGACTCACAGCTAGTAAGTGGCTGAACCATGACCAGAACCCAAATTCTAATAGGTTTGCTTCCTCGATTAACATTTGCTCTCTGATTGAATGAATGAATGCATTTATGAAATTAACTTGAATTTTCTACATTTTTGCTATTTGTTTGCTTGATGGAAACTACTTAGGATAAGGTTTTTTTCCCCCATAATTTTGCTTTGTTGCCTTTTACAATAATCTTATTTAATTCTGAGAAATGAGCAAGGTCCAGATGTCCCTTGTGGGATGCCTATTTGTCAGTGAGCACTTACTAATATCTCCATACAAGTTGAGTGTCTCCGCCAGAAACTCCTTGTCCTTGTTTCCCTTTGAGTATCCATAAACCTGGAAGCAGCTGCCAAGTCAAAAGCCTGACAGAACAGACTATTCTCAACCTCTTTTTTTCAGCCCTCCAGGAGGTTGCTACCTGCACCATTGTTTACCCATAATTGCGACAATTTATCTAGATGGCAACATTAAATGGAATTTTAGGGTTTTTTTTAAGTATTAGAATGTTCTTGGCTTTCATATGAATATGAAGGAAGAGTTAAAATTTGTTATTATGTTGAAAGCAACTTCAGTCTCAGGAATGTCATTTTTGATGAGTAACTTGGTCCCAAAATAACATCTGTACAACTGATCATACTTATATTTCAAAATTTTAAAAAACCTCACATACACAGGTAAGCAAATGCATTTGTTGTTTTTACCCTGTCACTCTCTTGTAAAACCCTGTTTTAATTCCTTAGTTGGCACCATCAGAGAAATGCAAATCAAAACCACAATGAGATACCATCTCACACAAGTTAGAATGGCAATCATTAAAAAGTCAGGAAACAACAGGTGCTGGAGAGGATATGGAGAAATAGGAACACTTTTACACTCTTGGTGGGACTGTAAACTAGTTCAACCATTGGGGAAGTCAGTGTGGCAATTCCTCAGGGATCTAGAATTAGAAATACCATTTGACCCAGCCATCCCATTACTGGGTATATACCCAAAGGATTATAAATGGTGCTGCTATAAAAACACATGCACACGTATGTTTATTGCGGCACTATCCACAATAGCAAAGACTTGGAACCAACCCAAATGTCCAACAATGATAGACTGGATTAAGAAAATGTGGCACATATACACCATGGAATACTATGCAGCCATAAAAAAGGACATGATGAGTTCATGTCCTTTGTAGGGACATGGATGAAGCTGGAAACCATCATTCTCAGCAAACTATCACAAGGACAAAAAAACCAAACACCTCATGTTCTCACTCATAGGTGGGAATTGAACAATGAGAACACATGGACACAGGAAGGGGAACATCACACACTGGGGCCTGTTGTGGGGTGGGGGGAGTGGGAGGGATAGCACTGGGAGATATACCTAATGTTAAATGACGAGTTAATGGGTGCAGCACATTAACATGGCACATGTATATATATGTAACAAACCTGCACGTTGTGCACACGTACCCTAAAACTTAAATAAAAAAGAAAATTCCTTAGTTGGCACCACAGCCCTGTCACCTGGCTCCTACCCACTTCTTCCTTACTCCTTCTCCCTTGTACTTTACCAAACAGTCCTAGTGAACTACTTGTTGGGTCCCAAACACACCTCTCTGCCTTTTCAATATGTCACCTCTTCTGTCAGAAGGTTCTTCACCATTTATCTACCTAGTGAGCTCTTTGTCATGCTTCAAAACCTTGATCTGTTATCAACACTTCTCCAGAGTTCTCCTTGGCTCCTACCCTCACCCCAAGATGAAGTTGATCGCTCTTCTGTGTGCACACACTTTCTTTTTTTCTTTGAGACGGAGTTTCGCTCTTGTCCAGGCTGGTGTGCAATGGCACAATCTTGGCTCACTGCAACCTCTGCCTCCTGGGTTCAAGCGATTCTCCTGTGTCAGCCTCCAGAGTAGCTGATTACAGTAGTAGATTCCAAGCACGCACTACCACGCCTGGCTAATTTATGTATTTTTAGTAGAGCTGGGGTTTCACCATGTTGGTCAGGCTGGTCTCGAACCCCTGACCTCAGGTGATCCACCTGCCTCGGCCTCCCAAAGTGCTGTGATTACACGCATGAGCCACTGCACCTGGCCACACACACTTTTTATTATTGCATCTATCATCCTGTTTTATGTTTGTTTGATTTTATTTTTGTCTTCTCATGTAGTCAGATGTCCTGAGCTTGAATTCCAGCTATGGCACTCACTATTGAAAAACCTGTATGTGGTACATACTTTTTTTGCTTCTCAATTTTTTTTCCTCTACATAATGAGGATAAATTGGAGAAATGAGGATAATGACAAACCTATCTCACAGGGTTATTTTGAGAAATAAATGAGTTACACCCATAAAGTCCTTAGAACATATATAAAGTATATAGAATACATTTGACAAATATTCCCTATCATGTGCAGAAATAGATAAGAAGAAATCAGAGTTAACTCAGATTTCTATTAAATAATACAGGAAAATGATTAAGAAGCATGGGAAGATAACTAAGGCCCAGGCCTCGTAACAAAATACACAGATGTTCTTGATTGTATTCTTGTGTTGCTATGTCTATGACTGAAGGAAATCAAACAAATCCAAAGGACCTTGAGTGAGCTTATCCATGTTTTATCTCCTTGGACATTCACAGCATTTGTACTAGAACAGGACCAATCTGTAGGAATTACCAGGACCAATGTGTTGGCATTACCAGAGGTCAGATTTAATCTCAGCCTTGAGATAAGCTTTCTAATATTTCAAGCTGCCCAAATATGAAACAGGCTACCTAGGGAGGTAATGAGCTCCTATTACTCTATGCATTCAAATAGAATATTAGCAGCTACTTGAGGGCTCAGATATTATATTAATAGTAAGTTCAAACATAGAGTGGTTAGTTGAAGCAGGTGGACTTCAGATTACTTTCAACTATATATATATATATATATATATATATATATATATATATATATATATATATATATATATATATTTCTTCTTTACTTTTTAAACACTAATTCCAATCACCACCTATTCTTTTAAGAGATAAGACCTGTCTGTGCTGTCCAGGCTGGCCTTGAACTCCTGGGCTCAAGTATTCCTCCTGCCTCACCCTCCCAAGTAGCTGTGACTACAGATACTGGCCACCATGCCCAGCTCAAGTGTCTCCATATTTTTAAAAATGTGTGTTTTAGTTTATAATTTTGAAGTTCTAAGTTTCTGTGTTTCCTTAAATCTATAACTCTATGATTCTAGGATTCCATTAGATTAACTGTCAGTTCCCTGGATTATGTTTGGCAGCAATCTGGCTATCTATTTTGTGACAATAGCTTTGGAGGCTGTTGGGAATTTTTCCATATTGAGCATCAAGCCAATTTAAAAAGTGGCTTCTGAGGGAGGTGTTCATTCAGGACCTGTACTAAATGCTCTCACAGCTCTTCTCCATGCTATATTTTTAGCTCCTATAGCCATTTAAGTTGAACATAATTAGGGGAAAACAAAAGCTAAAGCAAAAAAGCAATGTCTCAGCATTTTTGCAAGGAATAAATAGAGCTGAAGAGAAGCAGCTGCCCAATGCCGCACTTATATTTAGAATCTACCTGGGGACAGTCTGACAGAGCTAAGTCAGGCTTAGCTGAAAGGAGGGAAAAAATAACATGTAATATTTGTATCACCTTCCTGAGTAAGCATCTATAATACTATAGACATAATAAATACTACAGAGATAAAGCTATTATATACAGAATGAACTGTTTAAAACTCTATTGTATGTTAGGAGGATAGATCTCATGTTAAGCATTGTTACCTCAGTAAAATAAAAATTTTAAAAATTAATTTCAACTCATAAAACCTCCCTTCTATATAAAATTGGGAAGTATCATAATCAACCCTTGTAATTGCCATTCAAATCTTATATCCAATTAAATAATAATAGTTTCTTGAATCTAGGTTGTGTGCCTTAAAATCCAGTGTCTTTCTTACATTATATATCCCTGCCAGTACAAACTTAATTGAACTTATTCTCTTCAGTGAATCAAATGCACATTTGTTCACTGAAGTTCCCCCCAAATTAAAAAAAAACACTTTGGTGGCTTTCAATTCTTCAAAGATTAAAGATTTTGGATTATTTTCCTGCTTCCCTTTTTCCCACCCTATCCAAATCACTATTATAGGTTATCATATATTTATACCTTATCGCTTATCACTGTATATTTAAGCCCTATTTACTATTAAATTTTTCAACTACATATGTGATTTTTTTCATCAATGTCTATCTCCCCAATAGACTGGAAGCATCTGAGGGTAGGGAATGTGTCTGTTTTTACTTCTTCTATATTCCAGTTCCTTAGCACAATCTAAATACAATCTAAACATAGCAGGCACGTGATACATATTTGTTGAAATAGTAAATAAAATGAATTAGTGAGTAATGTTTTAGAATACTCTGTGTCACAAGATTTTAAAAATTACAGTTTTAGGATACAGGTCAATTATTTGAGGAAAAGTAGAGATACTAATTTAGAGTTAAGTGCATATTTATACACACAGAAAGTGTGGACTATTAGTCCAATTGGAATATAACATTTGAGTTTGAAAGGAATCAGAACAAAGTTAACAAGGGAAAGGAGAATTCATTTATGTTTTCCAGCTTTTGCCAAGCAGAATTAAGTCACTTTGAAGTTGTTCTAAATAGACCTTACACAAAGGTCTCCATTTGTAAAGGGCACAGATTTGTTGTCAATTATCTTTTACTGCCAGGTATTTAATTATTTACCTTTATCTTGAGTGCACAGGTATCTTTGCTTCTTTTACTCTTTGTTCTCAAAAGAAAAACAAATTTATTTTAAAGATTGAAAACATTGCAGCTATTAATTAATGCAGTTTAGCCATTGCCTTGTCGAGTGACCTTGAGATCCTGTTTAAAAGGACATATTTCTATGTGACTAGGTCAGTCAGGTTCATTCAGGGAAACAAAATTACACTAAGCATTTCAACAAAAGGGCTTAGTATATGGAAAATGTTACTAGGATGGAGGACTAAAGGAGAAAAAAAGGACATTAAATAACTCAGGGACAATTGCAGGAAGCTGTTATCACCGGAAGCATTAGGGAACAAAAGGAACAAGTGGGAGTTATCAGGACCTAGGAGCTTAGAGAGGGACTCTGCAGCATTGGATTCAGACCTTTGAGGAGAGGGCATTGCCTGTCTGTGGCTGGTACCTCTGAGAGGACATAAAGAGGCTGGTTCTAGGAGTACCAAAAGAAGCTGGAAGCTGGACCCAACAGCTACTTCTGGGGTTTAACTCATAGAAACACACAAAGCAGAAAAACAATCTCTTTTCTCCTCCTACTGCCTTCCAGTTTCTCTTTAGTTATTGGCAGAACCTAGCAGGAAGACAGTAACAAAGACATCTGGGAAATGTAATTTGCAGTATCACACAGCAGAGTGAAAAGGGTAGATTTGAATGAGAGACAGTAGGTGAATAACGGACACAGTCCATCCCTTTGGTTACTTACCTATACTCACATTTCCATACATAGTTGACCTTCCAAGTAACAAAATATGTGAACTTCGTGTTTTCACCTTATAAGATGCAACTAATTTTCATATGCATAAATATGTTCTCACCATCTCCTCAAAAGAGTAAGACACAAGGTTCCAATGGCCACTGTATCTGTTTCTAGATAAGGTCATGTTATCTGTCTCTGAGCAATGGCTTTTAGTCACAGTCACCCTTAATAATATGTAATCTAAAGGCCAACTTGTAAAGGTAACTACCAATGCTGAACTTTATATTCTGAAGAGTATGCATTCTCAGTGAACCTTTATTGGGTTACTTTATTTTTCCACTAACTTTTGTTATTGGGCACAGATGCACTAAAAAGCTTCGCAGATAATCCTCTGGGTTCCAGACTAGTGTTTCTTGCTCCCATTTGTGTCACAACAACCCAATTTTCGTTAGTAATTGGGATCAGTCTCCCCAGCCAATACGGCAACATGATTCTTTGCCTGTTAGCTTAGTAGCATAAGGAACTCTAAATGACCAGTGGTAGCCTTAGCTTCTACTTCAATGGAGCCATTATTGTGTTCCCTTAGGAAATAAAACCTCCTAATCAAGCAGACCCCAAGGTTGTGGGTATGAGAAATGAAACTTCTGTAAATGGGTTTTCAGGTGTAATATGAGAGGAGCCAATCTCATTTCCACCCTTGAGTCTCGGATGTCTATGTTCTCACTGTGTGAGAAACAGCATCATATGTTAAACACTGTTTCAAAGCATACATTATCTCTTGTCAGAGAACACCCCAAACTTTCGGTTTCCCAACTGGAACTGGAACTGAGACTTTATTAGATCATCTCATAAATCTATGAGGCCAACTGCTTCTTGGAAATGAGGCATATATTAAAACAAATAAATATATTTTTAGACACCAATTTTTATTTTACAGAGGAAGAAGCAGAGGAACAGAAAGGTTAATAAACAGTCTACAGTCACAGAGCTTATAACTGGCACAGCCAAAATTAAAATCTAGAGTTCTGGCTTATAGAATTGTACTCGGTATTCATGCATTGTTAGCCTTCCTTATACTTCCTATATACTATCCAGGTTTGTTCATTCATCACTCATTCAAAAATGTTTATTGAGCATCTACTATGTGCCAGGCACACTAGGGACAGTATTGGTTTAGGGACACTGTAGAAAACACTGCAGAAAAAAAAAATCTCTGGGTTCATAGGGATACTTTCTAATGGGGAGACAATAAAAATATTAATAAGTGAAATATATGCAAGATTTGTGATACATGCTGAAGAAAGGAAAAAGGTAGTGAGGGTGATATAAAATCTGGAAAGAGTGTTGCAACTTTAGGTGGGATGGTCCTTAGAAGGTCTAAAAAAGTAGGGGATATTGGAGTTAAGACTAAAGGTTGAGGAGGAATGAGCCCTTTGTTTCTCTAGGGGAAGAGCATTCCAGGCAGAGAGAATGGCAAGTGCAAAGGTCCAGAGGTAGATGCATGCTTGACATATTCTAGGAACTGCAAGGATAAGACCAATAAATATTATATGCATGAGCCTATCACTGCTATGTCTTTGCAGCAAAATGAGTATGTTTGTCAGAATGAATGCTGTGTAGGACACCATAGGTAAATAAGACATTCTATTAATATAACCCATGGATGATGGTGCTAGAAGAAGCATTAGTATAGAAAAAGCAGATTCAAGTCCATAATAAATGCACTTTCCAGCGAGGACAAATCACTGCCCCTTCATTATGGAAGGAGTATACTATAATCATTCTGCCACCAAGTGACTGGCTGGTCAATGGTACCATATCAGAGAATCAGTATTGGTCTCTGCTACTGACAGATTCGATATTCAGGAAAAGTCCAAGTTGTGTAGCTTGCTGCCATGGCCTCTTTGTATATTGATCCATCAAGCCAGAACTTGGAAGTCTGGATAAGGAGACTAACTGACATCCAAGGAATACATTATTTTATCTACATGATATTTGGGAACCCCCTCTGCAGTGGGTACTCTTTAGTTAGATTTATGTAAAATATAAAACATTCACACTCTTCCCATCCCAATAATTCCATTGTCAAATGTCTTGCTCAGATCTCCCTGATAACAATATTCCAATCTTCATTCCAAGTTTCTGATCATCTAGCAAAACCATTAGGCTATTAATAAGAAGACATGTACTTCTGGCCATCTCTCTGTTCAAACAAAGTGGACAACCAAATGTTCTGCTTGAAGTTCTGAGCACTGGAAAGATTCCCCATTACTATTATCTTTCAGGGATACCTCTGATTTGGGGACTATAAAACTATAGCAACCCACTTCTGATTGATACCAGCGTGCCATGCAGATTTCTTATTCTTCAATCAGTTCCACAGAATTTCCTTTGAAGTCATAGCGTGAACTGAAGGTAAAGAAACAGTGCTGCAGGAAGAAATGCTCTAGGAATCCAACTTACCTGTTCATGCAACTTACTTGTATCTTCATATCTATTAGAACCTTGTATGCCGCTATATCACTTACACCATTTTCACTTGTTGGTGGATAGTAGGCTCAATCTTATGGCTTCCTGGGAGTCAGATTATACTTGGTTCATGAGGAGCAATTCAGGCCACGTAATCACTTGATGTCCCAGAGTCAGATGTTTCATCTTTATCGGGGTTTACAACACAACTAGCAGGTGTTTCTCAAGATAGTTGAGATGGTTTCTCTTACCTATAGGAATCTTCTGTGTGGTTTTCCTACTGGAGCTTGCCATAGGCTTCACAGAGCATCCCTATTGACCACAGTAATTTTGGGTCTGTTGGGTCATAAGGTCCAAACCAGCGCAACATTCATTGTAGTCTGGACCTACTGCACAGTCTTCTCTTTCTGTGGGCTCCACCAAAAACTGGTAACATTACAGATTATTCAATAGAAGAACAACACAGTCAAATATGGTGCATGTTTCCTTCAAAATCCAGAAAGGCCCACCTGTCATTGTGCTTCTTTAGTACAAAATATAGCAACTTATTTTTCACTTTGGAGGGGATATTCCAATATGCCCCAGACCCCTAGACATTTTTAAATTTCATTGAAATGATAGGCTTCTGGATTTTTATGAGATTTATCTCTCACTTTCTCACATTCTGTGTCTTTTACAGCATTTATGGCACTTGCAACTTCCTCCTTATAATATTGTAGCTGTCAACATAGTGTACCATTGGGATGATCTGTGGGAGTCAAGATAATCAAGAGCTCAGCAGACTAGATTATGATAAAAAAGCAAGAGAATTGAAATAGCCCTACAAAAATATAGGGAAGGTATGCTATGGTCCCTGACAGGTAGAATCTGTTTCCTGTGGTCTTTGAAAACTGATAAAGAGAAAAGTATTTGCCAGATCAATAGCTTATACAAGGTGCCAGAAATAGGAATTGTTTGATATTTAGCCAATAAATTTATCCAGAATAACAACTGTAATTAGAGTCACCACCTATTTAAATTTATAGTATTTTATAGTCATTCTCCAAGATTCATCCAATTACTTCACTCGCCAAATAGGTGAGTCAAATGGGGAAGTAATAAGAATGTCTATAGACTCAATTAGATTTTGGTTCATAAATTTCTCCTCTATCAAGTTTTATAAAAATAAAATTTATGGGAATCTAACTAGACTTTGTGGATGAAATTTAGGATGTGGCATTTCTCATCACTGTGTTCATATCTCCTCCTCAGGTCTATAACAGGAGACTAAGTTGTACACTTCTCCCAGTGTGGCAGCCAGCAGAGTACTTCTCATGCAAGAACTGTAATTGACTGAGGGTCCCAGCTGCTGTGCTGAAATCCACTGCTGCATTTGCACACAGGAAACACATTCCATAGGCTGCCCTCACAAAAAGCTCAGCTCAGTTGGGATATTAAGGCTGTCCTATTCCTGGGGTAATGGGGGACTCTTCTGACAGGCATACTTGGCTCAAGCTCTCTCTGTTGGCCTTGTCTATCTTTCCTTAGAACTGCACTGCAGTCTAAGACACTTCTACCTAAACTTTCGTCCTTCTTTCCCTTTATCCTTCACTCAAGGTCATACCCTTGAGTACCTACATCATATCTGACTGCAATCCCAGCCTCTCAGAGTTCCCTCCTCATTTTCTCTCACAGCCATTTCCCAAAGTAAATTTATTGCACATATAGGATGTTTGATGTCAGATTTTCAGAGCACCTGAACTAGCACATCCAGTCTGTGATGTACTGAGATGGGATCTTCTCTAACCTACACTACTTTGTTCTCTGTAGCACATTAAATAAACAAACAAGCACACAAAACCCCAACGCTACTATCTCTAATAACCCTGTTACCACTTCTTGTTTGTCATGCTTGACTACATTGTTTTATAAGTGTAGATGACAGTTCCTAGGATGCAGCATACCATAATCAGTGCCCTTTATGTTTTCTGAAAGTTGAAGTCATCGAATAAATGCAGTAAGATATGTCTAGGGGGAGAAAGGTTTGAGCAGGGATTGAAGATAGAAGTACTTCGGCTGCCTTAAATAACAATGCTTATGAAATAGAGGAAGGGATGCCAGTTTGCTGCCTGTTATAGCTCTTGAGTCCCATAGATAGTGGTCAAGGGATGAATTGGGGTTTTTTCCCACCTTCTTTCAGTGGAAGGCCCTGTTCTATTTCTTGAGACAAAGCATAAGTAGGCCACTAACTGTTTTCTTTAGCCCAGCTCTGGCAGTACTAGAGTTCATAGAAGTAACTCCCAGTTTCTAGCAATAGATTGTCATTCTAATTGTGGATATTGTAAATTATTATTACTTCTTTGCCTTTCCTGTATGTTTCATTAGGAAGTTGGAAGAGGCTGCAGTAGAGCAATTCACCCTAAAATGTGATATGTACACAGTTAATTGGCCAGGAAATAGATCCAAATATATTATAAAGATAACTTTATTTTTCATGCCTTAATTCAAATAGATGGCTTGGCATTTTAAAATTATAGCCATGAATAGTTATGGGACTACCACCACAATAACTTAGTGAAAATCTAGATTTCACTTAGTGAAATTTATATCAATTAAAAAAGAAAAAGAATTTGCTTGAGGGCATCCCTAGCATTATACTGTAACCTTTATTCTGTTTACGTATTTCCTGACACACACACACTTGCACACACTACACACTACGGACTAGAGATAGAATTAGGTGCTCATGAGAATGTTTTAAATTTGACAAATTTGGGCCAGTTGCTTGATCTATATGAGCCTGGTAATACCTACATCAAAAGGTATATTTTAGGGTTACATGGAATAAGAGTCTTCTAATTGTTCCTGTTGCAGCCCTTACTGCGTAACAAACAGTGGGTGCCACCTTCAAATTAGTTATCTTTTCTTTCCAATCTAGAATGTATTTTTTATCCCCTATGCTTTGGTTTCAAAAATAATATCTGCCAAAAAATGAACAATTCTTTCTAACCCCTGTCTTATACTGATCACTGATCTTGGTCACAGACTGAGCCTCTTAAACTTGGCTTCAGGCTGAGCCCTGACCCATAGGCTAACTTCAGGCCAACATTGTCTTTTAAGATAGAGGTTCAAAGTAGAGATATATGAATCAGATTCTAGCTACGCTGTAAGAAAGTCACCTACCTCAGGCAAATTATTTAACCTTTCTTCACCTATAAAATGGGATAATGATGCCTACCCCACGGGATTGAGAATGAAATGAGGGACTGCCTTTAAAGGATACTAGTCAGTGTCTAGAATAGAGCAGGCATACAAAAAATAAGCTAAAAATAAGACACAACTGAATCCTTATTCTGTCCATGGACTGAGACCTAAACTAGGATCATGTCTGAGTCCTCATCCTCCTGACTATTTCACACCTCATATTATTTCACAATATTACTTATAATTACTGTATGAGAAGATACGGATGGACTAAGTCCATATCCCCCAACTTGACCATCTCCCTTCAGCTTCCCTACCTCTGTTGCCCTCAGTCCAGCTTTCCATAATGAAAGCAACTAGGCGTGGGGACTTTTCATGAAAAAAGCACCTCGGTACGAAGTGAGGTAAGTTTAGAGTTAGAAAGGTGCTTATAGACTGTTTATTTTAAAATGAGGAAACTAGTATCCAAGAAGGGGAATTACTGACCCATAGTCATGCAGGACAAAGGCACAAACACAAGCCTTGATCATTCTCTCAATGCAGAGATCTTGCCCAGCATCATCAGAGGCCTGCATAGATGGAGAAACACCAGGCAGAGAAGAGAGCTATCCCTGCCTTTTAGGTTCCTAGAGATTGGGCGCACTGCCCCAGCCTATTCAAAGGAGGCAAGTCTTTGTATACTGGTGTCAGTGCATGGGGTTCACAAGCCAAACAAACTGCCCACTAGCCACATGCACTTTTTTTGAGGTTTATGTACAGTAAAATGCACTGAACTTAAGCATTTGATTCCATGGGCATTGATAATGTGTACATCTTTTTAACCATCCCTACCAAGATTTAGAATATTTTTATCACCTCAGAAAGTTCTTCTGTCTATTCACTCTCTGCCCCTCCATAGGCAGCCACTTTTGATTCCATTGCTGCATATTAGTTTTGTCTGTTCTTGAACTTTCTATAAATACTTCATATAAATATAAATGGAGTCAAAGAGTATGAACTCTTTTATATCTGACTTATTTAAGTCAACCGTCCATATTATTGAACATATCAACAGTTTTTCTGTTTTTTTTCCCCTCAATACTATTTCATCATGTGTATGTATCACAGAAGAGTGGTCCCCAACCTTTTTGGCACCAGGGACTGTTTTTGTGGAAGAGAATTTTTCCACTGGGGGTGGAGGGGGAGATGGTTTCAGGATAAAACTGCTCTACCTCAGATCATCAGGCATTGGATTCTCATAACGAGCACACAACCCAGATCCCTCATTTGCGCAGTTCACAATAGGGTTCTCACTCCTATGAGAATCTAATGCTGCCGCTGATCTGACAAGAGGCAGAGCTCAAGCAGTAATTCTCACTCCTTGCCCACTGCTCACCTCCTGCTGTATTGCCTGGTTCCTTACAGGCCACAGCCCAGTACCTGTCCAAGGCTGGGGGTTTGGGGACCCCTGCCATAGAATATACAATAGAGGTTACACCCCAAATCTACTGTCTACTGAGTGACCTTGGGTAAGTCACCTAACCATTTTAAGCTTCAGTTTCCTCATCTATAAAATGGGAATGATATATAGTATGCCTCTCAGAGTTAGATATACACCATCCCTGAGACATAGTAGGTGCTCAGTACAGGCAGTTGTAATCATAGAACCTCTGTACACTTGTTATTCTGGAGGTTACTGTGTCCAACCTCTGTATTTTTTCAGATGAGGACAGAAAGACCCAAGGCCTTTCTGCCGGAAGTAGCACTCATAGCCTCTTGATGCTCTGTGCTGTGCTTATTCCACTACCCCACATATGTGTCGCGGAAAGGCCTTGTTAGGCTACTCCAAATAGTATGCAACTGAAAAGTGCTTTTTTTCTGAGGACTGTCAAAATACTTTCCTGATGAGAACCTAAATAAATAGTTTTCTGAAACCTTTCAGATTTTTTAATAAGTCAAAATACACTTTTCTGACAGCATAATTGCTTTTCATAGTGGGGCCTTAAATCTGCACTATAAAAGAATAATGCAACAGTAGATCATTTGTGAAAACTTAATGAAAATGGAGTTAGGGAACCTCAGAGTCACTAGACCTTGAAATTCACTTTCAGAAACTAATTTGCAGTAAATGCATAAGAAACATATTTAGACATGATAAACTTCCAGGCTGGTGCTGGGTAGGTGTGGAAGTTTATCTTGATTAACTCCTTTGTTTTAATTAATGCCAAAGAGCAAAGCATGGGGATCTGGAATTTTGTCAGCAGGAGCCATTTTGAAAGGAACCATCAGGCATTTCTATGTCCTGAATCAACTCGGCAGGGCTGCAGTGCTGTGAAGGATTTTTGTGAGGCTTTCCAAGGCACCACATTTGCTTCTCTCCTTTCTGGTGCTGACCTCATTAATAACAGCAATTAAGTCTACTGCTTATTTAGAGACAGTTCACCACAATGGATAAGTGAACAGGATATGGAGTCACACTACCTGGCTCAAATCCTAACTCTGTCATTTTCAATCTGTAGGATCTTAGGCAAGTAATTTAACCTTCCTGTGCCTCAGTTTTCCTGTCTATAAAATTGGGATAATAAGAATCCTCAAAGAGTTGTCTCAAAGATTAAATTAATACAAGTAATATGCTTAGAATCTGCCTAGCACATGTGTTTGATGAATGTTAGCTGTTGTTATTTTGTCAATTATCAGGTGCTGGAAATGAGTGAAAGAACCTTACATGCATCTTTTAATTGAACCATTATAATAATCCTATAGGGTAGATACTATTACAGCAATCCTATAGGGTAGATTGGCCCTAGATGCTGAAGGAGACTGCTTGTCTAGTTATCATTCTGGCTAATGATGAAATCTATTACATTTATATGTTTGGGGCACCTCATGTCCCAACAAAGGAAGGGTATATTTTCCTAAGAATTTAGGAAACAAGGAAAGAAGGAAGGAAGGGAGAGAGAGGGAATAAGGGAGGGAGGGTGAAAGACTAATACTAACAGTGGAACACTTTAGTCTTTTCCAAGCTATTTCATGGATATCTATTAATTTAATCTTTGCAAATCTCTGTGGGACAAATAGAAATATTTTTATCTGTACTGTAAATTTGAAGAAATTGAGGATTTCATAGCTATATTTTTGCAACAAGATTTAAGAGGAATAAAGTAGCCAATTAAATGGCAGGGAGAACTGTGGAATAGCCTTTGAAAAAGGAGACTGCAAAGAGTGCATTTCCGACAAATAGAGGGCACTGAGGAAGAGAACAGGCAGAGGGATAACATGAGCAAAGGCCCAGAGAGCTGGCCATGTATAATGTAACTGGGAAATAAGGAGTGTCCGCCGTGTATTATGGTATTAGCCAACGTGAATTAGGTGCCTTATGCAGACCAAACATATGGAAAGTTCCTAATTTAATGAAAGAGAGAGTTTGAAAAGAATTAGAGAAAATGCTGGAAGAAAAGAGGGAGGGAGGGAGGGAGAGAGGGAGGGAGGGAGGGAGAAAGAGACCACAGTTGTGGCTGGTGTTTATTTAATTTTATGCTTCAAGATTCTATATTTTCTGGAAAACCAACAAGACACATGTTTGAATTTAGCTTTTTAAATTGCAAAGTTAAATACATGTTATTTTGGATTTCTAGTCCAAACATTTGCTTGGTATTTTCTACATATATTCTGTGCTCCAATTGGAGCACATCAAAGTCCTGGTTTCTCTTGATGCTGGGCAGGCTTTCTGCTGAATGCCGTCTGGTTTTCTTAAAATGCCATCAGGAAGATGGTGTTGCAAGCTTATGAAAAACAATGCAATTGACTTGGACTGGAAGAAGGTGGTAGAAAATTTGGGAGGCTAAAAAAGAGGCAGCATATCTAGGTCCCAGGTTCATCTCTGCCATGGACCCACTGTGTGGCCTTAGATAAGTCCTTCCCCTCTAGGACTCAGCTTCTCTATTTATAGAATGAACAGTTTAGACATTTGAGGAGTTAAGTAAAATGGGAGAGAGACAGTTAAGTAGTGATATTCAAATATGTCTTGATTCCAACCACTTCTCATCTCCTCCATCATTACCACCAACTTAAGCCCCAATCATCTTCAGTCTGTTTAGATGCCCCTCTCCTAACAAATCCCTCATTTATGTCCCCACTGCCCTCTGCAGTCTATGCCCCACACAGAAACCAGATTGCTCCTTTTAAAATGAGAGTCCTATAATTTCATTTTTCTATTCTTAATCCTTCAGTGGCTTAGCATTCACCTAGAATGAAGTCCAGAACTTTTACCATATTGCTCGAGAGGCCACATGTGATCTGGCTCCTAAGTTGCTCTCTTTGTTTATTGCCTACTATTCTTCTGTTTCCTCACTCTGCTCTAGCACTTCGGTTTTCTTGTTATTCCTTAGGATACTATCCCTAATTCCTAGGGATAGTTCCTGCTATCTCTAGGAACATCTGTTTTTTCCTTAGGGTAGTTCCTGTTCTCTCTGACAGGGAGATTTCTGATCCCAGATTTTCACATTTTACTCTCTCTTCATTTAGGTCCCTCAAAGGATAAAACAAAGGCCATCAAGACAAACAAGAAAACAAACAAAAAGAAACCCCCAAAACAAAACAAATAACAAAAGCACAACAAAGTCGAGTCAGTTAACTTGCCAAAGGAGAAGAAAGTTTCCCTGATTATAAATTAGTAACTCTGAGATGAGTGGCTGTGTTTCTTCACATCTGAGATTCTAGAGCATACAGAACAACACCTTACCTGTAACAAGTTAATCAACACGCTTAGGCTTGGTTTTTCAGCTAAATTTGACTGCTTTCTGTTCTATGCTTATGCCCTACTGTTTCACCATTGTACATCATATTCTTTCTTCTGTCTATCCTGCCTTTCTACCCATTTCCTACTGGAAAATGCTCACTCATCCATCACAATTGAACTTTAAAAAGGGCATCTCCTCCAGGAAGCGTTCTTTTGGCACCTCTATGCTAAATTTGTTATTCAGCTTCTGCTACTTTTGAATCTCTGTACGAAGTATATCCTCTAGCAGAGTGCTTATCATGCAATCTTGCAATCATGCAGTGGTGTGATTGTTCAGCTATCTGCTCTACTAAATTAGATGTCCCTTGTCTTGAAAACAGGGAATTATGAAATAATCACTGTTACATTTTTAATGCTTGACATATTAACATACAATAAATATTCATTGATTTGAGTTTTTGAGTTAAGTGTAGAATGAATGAATAAATAAACGAGTGAATTATGAATGAAGGTGATGGGGGCAGCAGAATTATGATGATAGTGACAGTGGTAAGTACTCACAGGTCTTGGTGACTTCCCATTTCCAGATTGGAGAGTGAAAACAGGCAAGAATGCCTTGGCCATATGAAATCAATCAAGGGAATTAAGGACCATGAAGTATAAGGAAACACAGTGGATTTTGGAAATAGTGCTCAGTGAGTTTTCTACCATTACATTCTAATTATTAGAAAACTCTGCCAATGAAGTAGTGTGTGTGTGTCTTTGTGTATGTGTGTGTGTGTGTCTGTGTGTGTGTTTAAAAAAAAAATGTAAACCGAACACTACAATATGGCTCTCTTTTTGAGACCCACCCTTTTGTTTGGACTTGACAAAATAAGCCTTAGTGTTCTGACAAGGAGAGGACCCTCCCATTTACCCACCATGTGACCTGAATTGGACTCCATTATAAACAGCAAATTATAGTTTTGGTAAAATTTTTCTGCCTGGTGTATAGCAGGATAATAAAATGCATGCTGTTGTGTAAGATGCCTTTAAACATTCAGCATCCAGGGATGAGTAATGATTACATTCCTCTTCTATTCCTGGCTGACTCCTGGTAGAAAAAAAAAAGTCTCTTACAGGCTTTGCCCAATGTCACTTATTAATGCCATTATAAATTGAAAACATTTTTCTGCCATAAAATTCCCCATGATGAATTGTACCATAGGCATTAGAGTTTTTTCATCATTTTCTTCTTGATGAGCTGGCAAAATAAAGAGAATAAAATGGGTATATTCTTTTCTTTTGGAGAAATCCAATCTCTGCAAATGACCCCCTTAAGACTCTCAATGACTGTTTGTATGGATTCTGATCTTAAAAAATCTCCCAACTTGGGGGCTTGGGTGTGTGTATTATCATGCAGTTAGTTTATTATTGAGCAATAGTCTGTCTGAAAGTGATTTTGAGGATGACTTCATTAGCAGAACTACATAAGGCTCCCCTTAAGTGATTTGAACAAGGAAATTGAAAGGGAATTTAAGACTTTTATTTAAAACAATGCTATCTTGGGCCCCTTTTTCAATGCATCACGCCTCGTTACCTGAACAGAGACATACATTTGATTGCTCACATTCTTTCTTCTTTTTGAGCTAGTTCCACATTTGGATTAGAAGAAAGCATGGGTTGACGTCCATTCTCAATACTAAGTATCAGGGACTGTACAAGGTGTGGTTCTTGTATCAAAACCTTATTAACAATTCTGTAAGAAAAATATTATGCTCATTTTACAGGGAAGAAAAATGAGGGTGAGAGCATTTGAGTAACTTGTCTGAGATGAAAACAGCTAGTTAAAAGTGAAGTGAGAATTCTACCTCAAATCTGTTTTCTCCTAAAAGCTGTGTTCTTTCTTTTACAGTGCATGCCTCCCAAATATAATACAATGGAATGAGCCAAGAGATCACAACTAATAGGAAAAATTTTAAATCATTAAGTAATTATTCTGTCAGACTTAAGTCTGACATGACAGGCTGGGTATTTGTAGGCTCCCCTACTTATATTTGCCTGCTTATATTTGTGGGTATAGCAGGCAAATATAAGTTGTCTTTACCCCAAGACCCACAGTGAAAGATGCAGAAGGCCTCTGCCAACCCTGCCTATGTCCATGGACTGCAACAGCTTCACACAGCAGAGCACTATTCCAGCTTAGTTATACAACTCAAATTGTCAGGAACTGTGTGGCACCTTAACGAAGACCAGGAGCAAAAGTAGCTACCTATGGGTGGCCCAAAAATCCAGCTGAAACCGGTGCTACCACTGTGGTGAAATTCATCATTACAACCTCTTTCCCCTTGATTCCTCTGCTCCTTCCTGGGATAAAAGCCACATCAGACAAATCACCGTTATTCAAATGTACTTTAATTTTAATTGCAGGTCTCTGAGTCCTTTTTGTGTTTTTCCTTTTCTTGAAATAGTGCCCATCTTTTTAACATTTCAAGCTTATCCTCATCCCTCTATGTCTGGCTTAAATGCTACTTCCTTTATGAAGCCTCCTCTGTTCCCCTATCCAAAGAATGGAGTTGCTCTAACTCCAGCCCCATAATGTCTGACTTTTCCTAAATGTTCTCTTATCTTTGCAATCCTGTATCCCTGCTTTCCTAGTACAGAATGTCTTTCTGTCTGCCTTTCATCTCTACCTGTTTATATCTTAGAACCTGAGAACCTCAAAGCTGAAAGAGCTCTTAGAGGTCATAAATTTTGGAAAGATGGAAAGATAAAATTTGGAAAGATGGAAAAAGTAAGTACCAAGGAAGGAAAGCAATAGGCAGCTAGCAGCAAACTGAGGATCTTGGGAGGTAGTGTGATATAGTGGAAAGACAACAACTTTTGAGGCAACAACTTGGGTTCAAACCCTGGCTTTACCATCAACAAACTGTTTGATTTTTTTTCATCCTCTCTGAGCATCAGTTGCCTTAGTGTTTAAATCTTTTTGAAAAAAGATACCTGTTTAAAAAGAGCTATCTTGTTGTGAGTTTCATATCAAACAAAATGCCTATTTTGGTGCCTGGCAAATGGCAGGTGCTGCATTTGTGATTGTATGTATGTATGTATGTATGTATTTATTTATTTTCACTTTGGAGAGGCAATGTGATATAGAGGAAAGAGACACATAATAATAAAATGGCTTTTGGCAGTAGATAAACTCTGCTGCTTTCTACTTATATGACCTTGGATAAGTCACTGAACTTCTATAAAAGAGAAGGAATTCATATCTATGTATAAAAAATGTGAAGATGAGCAAAGATTTGCATAAAGTACTTGATGTCTGGTACATATTAAGAATTCAAAAAGGGCCCTTTATATCATTGGCATTATATCTCTATCCATGATCTCATGTAATGCTCATAGTAATCCTGTGGGATTCAAAGAGTAGTAAATATTATGCCTGTTTGTTAAAGGTATAACTATGATTTTGAGCTGGCAACCATACTTTGAAAATTCTAAACCTTACAGGAGCAATTATAGCACACAGATTTGGATAAACCAAGGAGTGGATATTGCTCGGAGATCAGGCACACGAGTGGGCCTCCATCGTCTAGGAGAACCAGGTGCAGAACTGGCTCAGGTATGGCAGTAGGATCAGTTGGAACTTAACATTTTGTCCTAAGACATGGGTCCCAGGTATGAAGTCTTTCTTGTCCAATCCTTCCCAGATAGAACTGTCACTCTTTTGCTTGTAGCATGTCCTACACCTACCCTGACTCCATCACAGGACCTGTGTCTTGCCTATTCTTTAATCTGATACAACTTCTGTGATTTTGATTGTGAATTTTTGTGATTCATATCTGGAGACTTGTTTGCTACTGTATGCTCAGCATTTAAATATATTTTGTTGACTGATTGTTACCTTACACAGAGCCTTGCACATAGTAAATACCCAGTGAGTGTTTGGTGAATGATTGAATGAATGAATCCAGTGAAATGATATATAGGAAAGGACTTTGTAAACTGTAAAATGCTATTTGTAAGAGTGTTTCTATCAACAATAGTCATTACTAAGTCAGCTAATAAGCTCCTTTTGACCTTAATCTGTTGCTCAAGCCTCAATAGTTAGGCATTCAGGGCACAAAATGGCCACTTGATGAGCCACAGAGGCACAGGATGAGTAGAAGGGATGCTGTGAGGTCATTTATTTCCCCTTTTCTGAAAAGCTCTGGTAAGGATTCCATCTTTCATACCACCTTCAGGAGCCCCTATGGGAGTTCCCCAGGAACATCATACAGAATACTGGGCCTGCCTGGAAGCCATTATCATGTGAGAGATGACAGGTCTGGAAATTAAAAAAAAAAAAAAAGATGAATTCTACACATTTTAAGTTGTCATTGACGCTGCTGCCTTAATGGATTAATTATCTGTGTTTTGAAGCTTATATTGGCAGTGAGGCTGCTCAGCTGATCATAGGCTTCCATGGGCATTCAAGGAGTGCTATAGTTTGAATATCCCCTTTAAAACTCATGTTGAAATTTAAGTGCCATTGTGACAGTATTAAGAGATGGGACCTTTAAGAGTTGATTAGGTTATGCACAGATTAAGGCTGCCCTCATGAATGGATTAAGGCTGTTGTCAGGAGAGTAGGTTAGTTATTTTGGGAATGTGGCTTCCTTTTTGTCTTTTGTCTTGCTTCTGCCTTCTACCATGGGTTTACCCTCACCAGACACTGGCACCATGCTCTTGGACTTCCTAGCCTCCAGAAGCATGAGCTTCTGTTCTTAGAAAATTACCCAGTCTGTGGTATTCTGTGATAGCAGCAGAAAATGGTTTAAGACAAACACGTAGAGGTAATGATAATAATAGTAAAAATAATATTGATAGCCTACTACATGCCAGATAGTGTTTTAAACATCTTAGTGGATTATTTTATCTTCACCACAGCTTCATAAGGTACATATTGTTATTATCTCCACTTTACAAGAGAAAAGAGTAACAGAATCAAGACTCAACCCAGGATGCTTAACTCTGGAGTCTGTGAGCTGAATCAGTAATCATATTCTCAATATAGAATTGAAGAAATGGATGTTCTGATGTTAAATGGCTTACTCATAAGTTACTGAACCAGCTTAAATGTAAGTATGCCACACTCAAGTCTGTGCCCCTCCAGTCCTGCCAAGTGCAGGCCTATGCACAGAACTAGCAGTTTATGCATAGGTAGGTAGCAAGGCCCGAATAATCCAGGTCTTATACAACTTCTGGGAGCATGGCAGGACCCCAGGTCCCAAAGAACTGTGTGCTACCTGAGACCTACAAGAACAATGCAGAGTCCTAATTGCTCTAGTTACATGAACAGAAACACAATGACCAACAATAGGCTAACTTGGTATTGATTCCCGTGTCCCTGTGAGTCATAGCATAAGCGCTCTTTACATTCTGCTTCCCCTCCCCAATGCCAGCTCTTCCATTTTCCAATTAATTAAGAAAAGGAGTAGGAAAATGTGCAAGTATTGAGTGATTATTACTAGAAAGCATTTCTAGCATGTAATTTCTTGTGAGCTTCTAAACAACCCTGTGAAATAGGTAGTATTATTACTCCTATTTTAAAGAAATTTAAGTTAAAAGAAGTAATGTGCCAACATCACATGGCTAATAAGTATCTGGGTTGTGATTTTCATCCAAGTCTAAGTACTTCGTAACATTCAACAAATACCTGTTGGATGGATGATGGATGGATGGACGGATGGATGGATGGATGGATGGATGGATGGGATCTTTTAAGTGAACCAGGTTGCTTTTCAGGGTGGTCTAAGTCTGTGGTTCTATACATTGACTGCACATGGGAATCCTTACAGAGCCTCTAAAAAATACCAATTGCCTCCCTTCTCATCCATTGAATCAGAATCCATACCCAGGGATTGGTATTTGTAGCCAGAATTGAGATCACTGGTTTTGAAAGGACTGTACTTTCCCCGCTGTGGACCTGGATGTGAGGAGCTTGTAAGTGACTGTCAGGTGGCTCCTGATCTTAGGTGAAGTAGGCTGTAGGGCAGAGACCCAGGCCTCCTTAGCCTCTGGAAAAGGTTCATATTGTTCTAACTGCTGTTGTCCTGGCCTCTTTTGTCAGCCTGGTGGAAATGCAGCTTGTTTCCTTGCCTTGCTCTGTGTCACTTACTGGCTGCCTAGTCCTGGGCTTCCCAATGTGAATTCCTTTCCTCTTGCTGATGGCAGCACTGCACAGTGATGCCAGGATCCTCCTGGGATGGCTCCCTTGGTTGCTCTTTTCTCAACCTTCCCGCTTCCTAGAATCCCCAGCCTTGAGCTTACTGTGACCCTGTAGTCCACTTCTGCGCCAACACACAGTTTTCCCTTGCTGTTCTTTACTCTCTCTCAGGGAGTGTAACGGTCTTTCTGCATTTCTACTTCTTGGTCTTCTTTGACAAAGAAGCATATTGTGAAAATCAATTGCTTGGGTCAAGGAGAAAGTATTGATTCAGCTAACAGTGCTGATGCTCCAAGTGAGTCAGAAGGTGAGAGAGATAAAAATGACTGGCATTTCAGGAGCCAGCTGCCACTTCCATGATTTATGCTCAGGAAATGAATAGCCCAGAATATTTCCTCTTTTCCAATTTTTGTGGTGTCTTGGGGCTGTCATTTTACTACCAATTTCTCTTACCCTGCCCTGCAGTTCCTCCATGTTCCTGCAGTGTTCTAGGCATCCCTCCACAGCTGTACATACACACATACACACACATACACGCACACACACACACACACACACACACACCCCAGACTGGGATCTGCCCAAGGGCAGAGAACAGTGGTATGTGGTACTGTCTCTGTCCTCATATCCCAGATTAGGGTCCTAGTATAGAGCTGGTGTCAATGAGTGTGCTAGGTGAGGCCTTAGCTACAAGAACAATTAAGGGTCCTAATTGCAGAGTGTGTATTATAGATAGTTGAACAGTAAAGTATTTCATTAAATGTTTTCACAACTATTATTTTATATATGACCCATAGCAATTTGAGAAAATAGTATTCAGAAATTCATATTCACATTTGATAAAGGAAGCAGCTAATGGGTTTGAGCCTGCGTCTACTAACTCTATAGCAGAATATATTTCATGACAGAGTATTCTATATTCTATGTCAATACTTTCCATGATGAAGTAATAAAACCAGAAGCTTTTAACACAACTGACCATTCATACTTTCAAATTGCACTCTTTTTTGGCTTTAAGAAACCACTTTTAATTCTCTTTCCAGGTCTCCTTTTGCTGGTTTCCTTTCATTCCCTTGATCTCTAGATTTTGAAATACACCAGAGCTTGTTCTTTGGTCTCTTCTTAGTCAGTATTACATCCTTGATGATTTCATCCACTCTCATGGCTTAAAATACCATATGTTAGCTGATGACTCCTAAATTTATTGTCTCTATTTAGACCTCTTTCCTGAACTGCAGAATCATACATCCAATTGTTAACTCAATATCTTGGCTTGGATAAGCATATGAAGTACAGCTTGTCCAAAAGCAAACATAATTTCTAATCCCCCAAACCACTTCCCCAAAGTCTCCCCCATTTCTGTAAATGGCAACGCTAATAATTTTGAAATCATCTTTTATTCCTCTCTCTCTTTTCCAATAGCCTTTCCACCAATATCTTATTGGTTCTATGATCAATATATATCCATATTCCTATTCACTCTCATCACTTCATCTTTACCTCCTTGTCCCAAACCATCATTATATGTGTCCTGTACTCTTGAAATAGCCTACTAACTGGTGGCCCTGATTCTGCTGTTGCCTCCTTCTCCTGCTCTTCCTCATATACACTCACTATGATTTATTTTACACCTGAAAGCCAGAGTGATTCTTCTGAAATGAAAGTCAGATTGTGACAGTTCTCTGCTAAGAATCCCTCAGTGGCTTCTCATCTCACTCATCCAAACAAACAAACAACATGAAAGTCTTCTTACTGTGGCCTACAAGGCCCTACATGATCTGTTTCTTACCTCCTACCTCATTGATCTATTCTTCACCTCCCTCTCACTTGATTACTCTGCTGTAGCCACACTGGCCTCTTTGCTGCTCCATGCACTCACCAAGCATATTCTTGCTTCAAAATGTTCATAATCACTGGTCTGTACCCAGAATATTCTTTCTAGATATTCTCATGGCTCACCTCTTCTCTTCATGTCTCTGCTCAAAGATTCCTTCTCTCCCTTTATGTCCCTGCTGAAAGGTTACCTTATCACTAGTGCTTTCCCTGACCATCCTATCTAAGATCCTTTAGGGGCTTGACCCCTTTAGCATTTCCAGTCTCTCTTACTCTGCCTTGTGGTCCTTTGTGTCCTTTGTGTCAATTTTTTAATTGATATTTTCTTCTATTAAAGCATAAACTCCTGGAGAGCTATGACATTCATTACTATATTTCTAGTGCCCCAAACAATGCCCAGCACATAGTAGGTTCTCAAATAATTGCTGGATTAATTATTAAATAACAAGTATTTATTGAGCATCTACTAGTATAAAAACTACCATCTTTTGAACATCACCTATGATTCAGGGAGTTTGTGAAGTACTTCTCATATTTTATATTTATTCATCAGGAAAGCCATGAAAAGTAGGTATTATAATCTCCAATTTATGCCTAAGGATATTTGAGCTCAGGAGAGGAAAATGGTTTAAGATTATATAGGAAAATAGTTGGAAAGTTAGCAATATAATCCATGTCATATCATTCCTGTGCTCTTCCTACGCTATCCAGATGCCTCCCTCACAAAATGGTATTGATTTAAAAATCACTTGTGGAATACTTCTATTCTCCAGGCCCTGAGTGTGATGCTAAAGGCTAAGATTCATGGGCAGAAATCCCTGCCCTTAAGGAGTCTATAGTCTAATAGGAGAGGCAAACATATGAACAGATGAGTAAAATACAGATGGTTGGCTAATGAGAATGAGAGAATGACATAGAACTAAGTGCAAAATAAAAACATGGGTCCTCTTGTTAAAAAATTGTTAAGAACTCCAAGATGGCAACAGCAGAGCATTGAACCAAGCATAAAGCATGGGGCTCTGTGTTCATGAAGCTAGACCTAGTTAGGGGGTCAGAGAACACTCCCAAGAGGGAAATATGAGGAGTGGTCTAAGCTTAGGGCACCCTGCCCAGATAACACTGCCAGCCCTGGCCAGTCCCAGGTACTAAGAAATCCTAGAAAATTTCAAGAAAGGCACTCCAAAACTCAGGACTCCTGATGTGGGAGACCAAGACCAGGACTTCCCTTGCTGTAAAGATTGTAATGCTAGTGATTCAGGGGCCAGGTTTCTTCCATACTGAGGCTCTAATATGTAATAGGTTTTTATGGGGCAGCCCTAAACGTAGTATACATCACTTCTACTCATATTGCATTGGCTGTAACTCATTCAGATGATCTAACTGTTATAGGGACTGGACAATGTAGTCCCTTCTTAAGCAGATACTTCTCAGTGACAGCTCTATACTATGGTGGCAGAAGAGAGAATAAGAACATTTGTTGAAAAGTTAGCCTCTCTGAAGTGGAATTGAGGAGCAGAAAGGCATTCACAGGGAAAGGAGCAGCATGAGCAAAAATCCTTAAGCTAGAAACATCATGGCATGTGCAGGGAACTAAAGACAGGTGTTAATGGCACATGAAGAAGAGGAAGAGAGTGGCAAAAAACAAGCCTGCAGAGGCCAGGCGCAGTGGCTCACGCCTGTAATCCCAGCACTTTGGGAGGCCGAGGCAGGCGGATCACGAGGTCAGCAGATCGAGACCATCCTGGGTAACGCGGTGAAACCCCATCTCTACTAAAAAAAATACAAAAAACAAAAAACAAAACAAACAAACAAAAAAAAAACAAGCCTGCAGAAGTCATTAGGGGTCAGACTGTGGACTGTTATGCCAAGGATCCTGAAGTTTATCCTGAGGAAAAATGTAGAGTTTTGACCAGAGGAGAGTGATTCGGTCAGAGTTGTGTTTTGGAAAGATCTCTGGCTGTGATGAATTGATTGATGATTAATTGATTGATTGATCATCATTTCCAGGGCAGTTGTTGGAATCAGGGAGCCCTTCAGTTAGGAAATCACTGAAGTCAATGTTGGTGTGAGATGCTGTATCAGCCAGAGCTAATTCAGAACATAGGAAGTACTCTTGGTATTTTAAGTACATTGTTTTTTAGGGGCTGGGGAGTGGAAGAGAAGCAGCTGTGGGACAGCCTTGTGGATAACGCACAGAAAGAAGTGTTAGTGAAGACCTGGAGAGATGGGAAATCATCTGTTGTTGGTGAGAGGAGTACAAATAAATTGGCACAATCACTTTGTAAAGTAATGTAGCATGACCTAGTAGAGCCAAAGATGCTTAAATCTTACTAGCCACCCATTCCATTTCTAGAGAATGTCACACATGTACAGTAGTCAGATTTCTTTAGTCACAGCATTATTTGCAATAACAAAATTTGTAAACCTTATGATCATAGATACATTTGGTCAGATCATACACATTGCATTACTATACCGAAGTTGAATACATGAACTAGAGCTGTAAATATCAACACAGCTAAGTTCTAAAGCATACTATAAAAGGAAAAAAGTATACTTTAGGTTGACAAGTACAATATGATGCCACTTATATACAGTTTGAAAGTGTGGATGTTTTATTTTGCTTATAGGTACATATATATGTAATAATAGCAAAAAATGTATGGGAATGATGATAAACACAAATTTTCAGGGCAGTGTTTACCCCTGTTATATAAAAGAAGGGTTGGGTTAAAACATGGGAGTTTAAACCCATATTTGTAGTGTTTTGTTTCTTTAAAAAATATGAAGTATATGGGAAAATGTTAGGAATTGATTGACTAGTATGCCATTCATTATGTTAGTCTATTTTTAGATATATTTGAAATATTTAAAAATTAAATATTTACAAATTTAGATAAGTAAATTTACTTCCTCTATAAAGCATCAAACCCAAGCAAAACATGGTGTGTGTCCTGCCATTGGCCTTTTGGGAATATTGTTATTGTCTCACACTGTTGAACTTATCACACTGATCATTATTTTTTGTTTCCTATCTGCCTGCTATTCTAGTCAGCAAGTTCTTTGAGGAAAAGGGCCATATTTTCCTTTCTATGGCTGCGGCCCCTAATCAGAGCCTAAATCAGAGTTAGTTGAGTAAGTATTAGTAAATGTTTTTTGAATGACTGAATGAATCTCTCAATCTACTTTCCTAGGAATGATTACAAACCTCTTTCTTCCTTTTCTCTGATTCTACTTGTAACCTCTGAGTCTCCCTTCCCCAGTCTCTCTTCCACTTTTCTGTAAGCAATTGCAGTTATGTTTTTAATTGGGAAAATTTTTAAAGAAAGGTATGAGGTTCTTTTAAATATTTCTATAAGAAAATGGCTCTTGTGATGGAAAGCCATTGATTGGTTGTAATGTAACTTTTAAAATATAGTGCTTATCTGAAGCAAAGCAATTTTGTCTGTTGCTATTAGCACTGGAGTTTTGAATACATTAAGATTTACGGCTTCTGTCTTTCCAGGAAAGGGAGTTGGGGTACTTGAGATTGAAGTAAACAGTTGGCATGTCTATGTACTGGACAGATGCCACTGAGGGCCAAGAAATTCAATGTGTAGGGTCATCCCACACTAAATCCAAAGCAGTCCTGCATTGGCCATGTTTTGGGTTTTATAAGTAATCCAAGGCAGTTTGTTACCAGCAGAAAGACAAGAGCAAGAAAAGGCCTTGGAAAAGAAGGAAAATCTAGGCAAATGCAACAGGGCCTAATGCCCAAGGCAAGCCTTTTTTGCTCCCTATTGCAGCAAACAAGGAAAGGCCAGATCCAATTAGAGCCAGGGTCAGGGCAGACAGCCACTGTGAAAGCTCAGTCTAGCAAGGTAATAATAATAGTTAATGATTAATGACTCCCAGCTACTGTTTACTGAATACTCTGTATTTTCCACATGGTTTGCTGGACATTTTACACCTGTGTTATACCATATTCCTCACAGTATTCTCTTTGTTTCACTGGTGGAGATTCAGACTTAGGAGGCTAAAACTTTTTCCCAGGGTCATCCAGCCACGGGCAAATCCGAAATTTAAATCTGGGACTGCCTAGCTTCTCGTTTTTTCAATTATACCAAGGTAAACAAACTAGAGGCCCAGGGGCCAGGCATAGTGGCTCATGCCTGTAATCCCAGTGCTTTTGGAGGCCCGGGTGGGAGGATTACTTGAGGCTAGGAGTTTGAGGCTGTAGTGAGCTATGATTGCACTACTGCACTGCAGCCTTGGTAACAGAGTGAGACCCTGTCTCTAAAACAATGACAACAACAACAATAAAAACAAAAATGGCATACAAAGTTTTCAAATAAGAGATAGCCTGTGATAAAGAGCTAACACAAGGAAAGGAGGAGAGAGAGGAAATCCTTCATTGGGTGCCAGGCCTCAGCCTTCATATTCATCAGCCCATCTGTCTTACTGCTACTCCGGGAATGAAGTCAACAAACACATAAAGGAAGGATTTCTGTCTAAAGCTCAACTGCAGCATTACCCATAAGGGTGACCACTTATCAAAAATATTATAACTGTGGTTAAAAATGTCTGCGTCACCTTGATATCCCTCCCAACTCAGACGTTTTTCATCTAGGACCAGAGCAAGGGTGAGCCATGGAGGAGGACATTTATTCTGCTCCCATAGCTCTGAGAAGCTTGGAAGAAGGGGAAGGATGTGCACTAAGCTTGAAGCATGTGTATAGCTCTACAGACAAACAGTGCAGCACAGGGAAATACAGGCCCAATTCTGAATCTTCTCATCCCTCTTAATAGCTTTACGCCCCTGTGCACACCACTTAATCACGCTAAGCCCTATTTTCCTTATTTTTAAAATGAAGGTAATAATAGCAGATATCACTTACCATATGCTATATATACATTATCTGATATAATTCTCACTGATCTCTTGAGGTCAGTGCTGTCTTTATCCTCTAAAATTCCTTTACCTTCCAGATCTGTAGTGTACTAATTTCCAGGACAACAATGCTTTATTCCTGTCTGGAAATAACGTGATTAGAGAAGGGGAGGGAAGAAATGGGGCAAGGAAAGGTAGTCATATAGAAACAAAGCTGTGGGATCAGAGGGACATTGAGGCACAGCTCAAGTTTACATCATACTCATAGAAGTTTATGCCTCTGTTATGTTCCCCACAATTTTAGAGCAATGGCTTAGAAACAAAATCCATATGTTATAACCACACTAATAATAATAACCTCATGCTTTTATTTAGCACTTTTCTACATAGTATCTCATTTGATCTTAACAACCTTTAAGGCAAAATAGAAGAATACAAAAAGTTGCTCTGTGCTCTTGGGCAGGTCACTTTCTGCTCTCTGTGACTCTGCACAGTGCCTGACATAATAAAGACTGAATAGCATTCAACAAGTGTTTAATGTAATAACCTAAAACTCACAGAGATGCCATTGGAATCAATTTTGATAATGTGCAAGAAAGTGCCTTGTATATATTTCACCTATAAATTAGAGCATCAAAATGGCTTTCATCTATGATGTGGTTTATTTCTGGGAGAGTCTTATCTGGGATGAGGGAACCTGACATATGGAACAGTTTTGGTAAGTTCTTGACCGGTTTTCAAGTCTTCCGGGATTCAGAGCTGGTCTTTGGTCCCAAAGGGCAAAAGAAGTGGCAAGAAGAGGGAATTGAAGTGCAAATCAGGAAACTGAGGCATACATCCTGTTATGAGATGGAATACAGATAGAGAAGGAAGGGTGTGGCCTAGCAGGCACTACTATGTCTGAAGCCCCCTAAGCACTCTGCTCGGGGCAGCTAGAACAATCGTACTACTCATCATTTGTCTGCTGAAGACCCTTGGTCTGTCTTTTTATGTTTCTTCTCCCAATCTTTGGTGATAGATGAACTTAGCTCATTTAATCAGGCTACTCTACCTCTAAGCTAGGCTAGATTTAGGCAAATGCCAAGCACGTTGTTCCTGCTCTGAGCCAAGTCCCAGTTAGCAGCCCGTCTCTTTGGAAGGTGTCTATAGCACAGGCTAAATTTATGATTCCTCTCTGGGAATCTTAAATAGTACATGGTGGCCTTTTCTTCTACCCATACAGCATTATTAATACCTCCTCAGAGCTAAGGATCAGATGGATAGAAGTCTGTGCAACTGAAAGAAGGAAAAAACCTCACTTTCACTGAGCATCTGCTGGGTCCCAGGCACTGTGCTAGGAACCTTCTTTCTATGTAGTTACTTGTCATATTTTCTGACTTTTGAATACTCTTCTTCATGAGTCCTTCCTCATCAAGATAGAAGTTAAAAACTCACTTCTCCAGCCTCTCCTGCAGCTAGAGCACAGATGTGTGACCTAAGCCCCGTCAATCAGACACACCACACAAGCAATCAATTCTGAGGCAAGCAAGTTGTAAGGCCTAGGCAGTAGAGGTAATCTTGAGTTCCTGGCCCTGCAACATCATTAGTGCTGGCAGCATAGTAGTTGCAATAAAGTTGAATCGGTGGCCCAGAAGTGGCAGTAGTGTTAACTGTAGCATCTGGTACTTAGTGATGGGGATAGAAACTATGGTTTTCTCATCAGACTACTTTGGCAGTATGGTTTTGGGCATGGAGTTTAGCCTTAAGCCTGGTTCTCTGGACCTTCAGCTCATTGTGTGAGCTACCGAGATTCAATTAATAAATTCCCTTTATGTTTAATCAGCCAGTTAGCTTCTGTTGCTGGCAACTGAGAAATGATATTCTGTTCATTATCTCAGTTGATCCTCAGACATCCTAGAAAGGAAGAACTATCACCATTTTCACGCACGGAAACAGTGTCAGTGGCTAAAGAACTCATCCAAAGTCCAGGAATGTTCAGTATTTTGGCTTCCTGGGCCACATTGGAAGGAGAAGAATTGTTTTGGGCCACACATAAAATGCACTAACACTAATGATAGCTGATGAGCTAAAAAAAAAAATCACAAAAAAATCTCATAATGGTTTAAGAAAGTTGATGAACTTGTGTTGGGCCCCATTCAAAGCTATCTTGGACTGTGTGTGGCCCACAGGCTGTGAGTTGGACAAGCTTGGTCTATAGCCTGGGATCTATCCAATTCCAAAGCCCATCATCTTCCACCTATCTACATTACACTTCTCTGCCTTGGAGCTCTCTGCCTCATTGTTCCTTCTTCCTCTATTCAAAACCAGAGGCGAGATCACCAGGAGAGAGAGGACAGCATCTCATTTTCTCTGCATTTGTCTTGTGTGTTTGCGAGAATATGAACATTCATTCCATTCATTTAGTCTCTTGCTTTTGAATCTTACCCCAGCGTCCTCCGGGAGGACTTCACTAACCACTTTATTTGATTAGCTTCTCTCCATTCTTCTCACTTTCCATTAATTCATTCTACTTACTATCATATCATTCTGATTTATTTCCTTCATATCTGTTATTATTATCTGATATTATCTTGCTCATTCTCTCCATTCTTTGATTTTCCTCTACTCTGTATTAGAATGTAAGCTCCAAAGGGTAAAGCCTTTTTGCCCAAGCTTGTCTCCTAAATGCCTAGCATAGTGCCTAGCAGTTGGTAAAAGCTCAATTAATATGTGTTAAACAAATAAGTGAATAAAATGAGCAAATAAATGGATAAACGTGTTATTCACTCAAAGTACTTTTCTGGAGACATTGTGCACTTGTTCCAGTAATACTGTTATTGCTTTATTAACTTTCATTAAACACATTTATCTTTAGTAATGACCTCTTGAATCCATTTACAAGCTACAAAACAAAAAGAACTGGAGCTTTGAAATTAGACAAAACTTAGCTTCAGCTTGAGATTTCTTCATTTATTAGTTTTGTATCCTTGGCAAATTATCCAGCTTCTCAAAGGTTTTGTTTTCTCATCTTTAAAATAGAGAAAATAATGCTTCCCTCATAAGGCCATTGTAGACATAAATCAAAGAAAGTGTTTCTCCTCAACACTTCCTGTTAGCTTTTCCTATTTGTTCAACAATTCTCATCAAAAATACTAATCACAGTTGAGGTAATGTTGTAGTCAGTTCAGGCTGCTATCATAAAATACCATAGGGTGGGTGAGTTATGAATAACATAAATTTATTTCTCACAGTTCGGGAGTCTGGAAGTCTGAGATCAGGATGCCAGCATGATGGGTAATGTTGAGGGCCCTCTTCTGGGTCACAGACTGCCATCTTCTTGTTATATCCTCACATGGCAGAAAGAGAATGAGAGACCTCTCCATGGTCACTTGTATAAGGGCACTAATCTCATTCATGAGTGTTCCAGCCTCATGATCTAATTACCTCCTGAAGTTCCTACTTCCTAATACTATCACATTAGGGGTTAAGATTTCAACCTATGAATGTGGGGAGGGATGGGGGTGACAAACATTCAGTCTATTGCAATTAACTTGGCCTATCATGTATTTTCCATAAGTGGCTTAGGTAAAACACAGGAGCTTCCCCTCCAACTCTCTTCACATGTGATTAGTGTAGTCACATGTGATTAGTGTAGTCACACAAAACCTTAAGAATCTCGCCAGAGAAGATATTCTTTCCAGACACTGAGACATAATGCAGCACACAGTAGTCCTACCTTCTGATGCTTTTGCTGACCATGCCAGTCCACATGGACTGACTGGTCCTTTCTCTAAAGCACTGGGGTAAGATATAAGAGAGCTGAGTCTAGACTTAGCTCCGAAGGTGACATCTGTGTTACCTTGGTCTAGTTACTTCCCCTCTCTGAACCTAAGATTTTTTAAATCTCTAAAATGAAAAGTTTGGACAAGATAAGTTGTCTCTAAATCTTATATGATATTAGTTTACTTAGACATTTTTTATCTGGATTTTTGAGGTTCCTGAGAAAAGGCTGTTGGACAATGTTATATTAAGGCTATAAGTACCAAGACATAATTAGAGGAACTGAAAATAATGGGGATGGGGATAGTAGAAGTAGGTTTAAATAAGAAGAAGAGAGTAAAGGACCCCCTGGGAAAAAGCAATATAAAAGCAACAGCAAGCTAGGGCAGATTATAAGATTGTGTCTAAAGGACAAAATGTGGGCATGGTTGGTATGGCCTGGCCAGGAGACCAGAAAAGGGAGCTGGGAGCCTTTTAAGATGGTCCTGATGAATCCTCATTCGTCTCATTTGGCTCAAGCTGGCTGCTCTTAAAAACCTAAAGACTCTCTCATGCACTTATTTCCAGCATAGCATTCTAAAATCAGACTCTCAAACAATATTTGTCATACCTACTGAGCCATTGGCACTCTGTAGAGCTCTGAGGATACAGCTAGGGATCAAATATATTCCCACCCAAAGGAAGTTTATAGTGCTTAAAAGTACTTACATTTGGCTAGCTGATGACCTTGAGCAAGTTACTTAATCTCCCTACGTTTCAGTTTTCTCATTTGTTAAAATGAGGTCGGCCAGGTGCGGTGGCTCACGCCTGTAATCCCAACATTTTGGAAGGCCTAGGTGGGCAGATCATGAGGACAGGAGTTCAAGACCAGCCTGGTCAACATGGTGAAACACCCCCTTTCTACTAAAGATACAAAAAGTTAGCCAGGTGTGGTGGCACACGCCTGTAACCCCAGCTACTCAGGAGACTGAGGCAGGAGAATTGCTTGAGCCTGGGAGGCGGAGGTTGCAGTGAGCCGAGATCACACCATTGCACTCCAGCCTGAGTGACAGGGTGAGACATGTCTCAAAAATAAATAAATAAATAAATGAGGCCATTAATATTACTCCCAGATTGTTGTCAGGTATGAGTGTGTTAATATATGTGTAGCCAATAGTAGATTGTTATAATATGCTGGACTCAGAGTGTATTCATAAAAGCAGCTTTATTTTTGTCTTCTGCCTATAGGTTCAGACCTATTTAGAGGGGTTAGTTTTTACCTGCCCTAGATGAGAATTTCCTGTTTAGGTAAACAGAAACACAGTTTCAATTCAGTAATTTAAAATGTTCAATTACAGACAGTAATCAAAACTCTGAACTTGATTTAATGTTGTCTTCTTCCCCGGTACCTCCATCCCCCAGGTGACACCTGCTTCCAGTGAGGAGCTTACTGGGTTGGGGATGGAGCATTGGCCATTCTCTGATTTTCACTCATGTCTTTCCATTAGCTCACCAAGGTTGAAGTGGGAAGAGGGAAGGAGTGCAAAGAGAACAGAAGGATATCACTTGCCTGGCACTCCCCTAAGCTGGCTTCAGTTTCTCTATGCCTGGCAGATGTTTGTAGCTGACTCCCTCTCTTATGGATGCTCTTGTGGATTCTTTGGAGGCTCCTCTGTTCAAAGGCAGCCATCACATGGAGAATGTGTCCCATTCTTCCTAGTGTTGCTGCCTCCGTATTTTCTGCTTTTCTGGTATCCACTGTATATAGACTCTGTGCAGGAGTCAAAATGGCATCAAACCAATTCTATCTGCCATTCATACCCATCTGCTCAGAATCTATTGCCTGGGCAGTCACTGGATATCATTGACCAATCTCGGTCTACCTACTTTACTTTCCCCATAGTCTTTTGCTCATTAGATTTCTCAGGCAGGAGTCAGAATTGTGCCCACTGTGCACCCCTCTACCTATGCAGAGGTGAGGGAAAAGTGCCCCCTGATCCTTCCTTTGGAGGTGTGGCATGTGGGACTCCAGGCCTTCAAACTCCCCCTGATAAAACCTTCTCTTTGATTTTCAACCCTTTTTTCCTTTAGATACTTGAAGTGGGCAAGGGGTTTCAAGAGTCTTGTACTCAGTTTCCAGATGTGTACTTGGAAATTCTGTATAAATTCTGGTATGTCTTCAGAAACAACATTTCTAATTTCCTGGTTCCTCAGATGAAACGTCCACTTTAGCATACTGTAACACAGAGTGAGTGCACAATACATGTTTCTGTCACTATTCAAGCCTCCCTTTTTATCACGTCAAACAGACATCCTTTCAATTTTTTTTTTTTTAGTCTTTTATGCATGTATCTCTTATGTCAATGACCAGGACCACAACAATGCCTTCCATTTCTTTAGCTATCCTTCACTGCCTACACAGTGTTTTGTACATACTAAGTGTCAAAGAATTTTCATTGAACTAAATGGCATATGAATAAAGGAGTGACTACTGTAGTTAGGATTCCTCAGAAAAGGCATCATTGCCTCACCTTTGCTCTTTCAGACACATTTAATTCTCTGAAATTAGTGAATCAAAAAAGGCAAGAGGGTAAAAAATAGATGATATAAATTTCAGAAAATGATGGCCTGGAGATGGATGAAGGCTAAATTAAAGCAGCTGTTTATTGAGCCCATTAGTAGGGAGGAAGACGTGACAGATCTCAGGAAACAGCCAAAACACTGGGGTTTTCAGAAGAAATCTGAAAGCAGATGGCAAGTGGATGAATCAGTGAAAGGCGGCAAAACCATCTACAGAGTGGCAGTGCTCAGCAAGGGCAGCTGCAGCAGGCAGGCTGTCGCTGGGACTCAGGGAAAGAAAGGCAGGCTGAGAAGGCAAAGGAAGCAAGAGCAAAGGGAGAGCAGGAGGGCTTGATTTACAAACTGCTGACAAAGCGCAAGGCACACGTGCAAAGAGCTGGAGCACTGGACCCGGGCAGGGAGGGATCTGTTCCAGTCCCATCTGTGACGTGGCTTTGCTGTGTGCCTTAAACAAGTCTTTTGCCCTTTCTAGGTATCCCTTTGTACATTTGTAAGTGAAAAGAGATGATCCAAATATTCTGTAAGGACCTGTTTTCCAGCCTTTGTGAAAAATCATCTTGCTTTCGTGGGATGATGCTATGAAAGATATTTTCTGTTTCACCTACGTATGTTTCTAGTACCCTATTAACCTGTATTACCTGGGAGGTGGAGCTTGCAGTGAGCCGAGATTGCGCGACTGCACTCCAGCCTGGGTCACGAGTGAGACTCCATCTCAAAAAAAAAAACAAAACAAAAAACCTGTATTTAGCAGCTGTCCTGTTTTAAAACAAAAAGAGAGAGAGAAAAAAAAAATTTAAAGGACAATCCATCATTCATACTTTAGTGTGAGATGACTCAATCAGATTGTTT